>NC_000001.11:236638667-236790182 GCF_000001405.40 Homo sapiens | reverse complement strand
ATCTCTACTAAAATTACAAAAATTAGCCAGGCATGGTGGTGTGCACCTGTAGCCCCAGCTACTAAGGAGGCTGAGGCAGAAGAATCCCTGGAACCTGGGAACAGAGGTTGCAGTGAGCTGAGATCATGCCACTGCACTCTTCCAGCCTGGGCAACAGAGTAAGACTCCATCTCAAAAAAAAAAAAAAAAAAAAAACTTGGGACCCCAAAATTACTGAGCCAAAGGGAAGGTTAAAGCTGGGAACTCCATTGAACGAGCCTGCCTTCCATTCTATTCCTAAATAAGATAGCTACAAAGATTTTTTAGAAAGCTATATACCTCCCTCCCTCACAATGTGCCCACAAGAAAATCTCAAAGGACAGACAGAACTCAAAGTCATCCCTCTGCTCGTGTGAGACAAATGCACATCTGATTGCTTGCTCTGCCCTATAGTTTCACTAAGCCAGACTAGGCGTAAGTGACTATTCCTGTAAATTGCATATTTGGTGAAAGGCTAGTCAGAAACTCAAAAGAATGCAACAGTTGTCTCTTACCTACCTATGACCTGGAAGTCCCCTTCCCACTTTGTGTTGTCCTGCCTTTCCAGACTGAACCAATGTACATCTGACATATATTGATTGATGTCTCATGTCTCCCTAAAATGTATAAAACAAAGCTGTGCCCCACCACCTTGGGCACATGTCGACAAGAGCTCCTGAGGCTGTGCCATGGGCGTGTCCTTAATGTAGGCAAAATAAACGTTCTAAATTGACTGAGACTCGTCTCAGATATTTTGGGTTCACAATATAATTGCCCCTATTTTAGAGGAGCAGAAATTGCGGCTTAAAGAAGTTACTAGAAGAAGGCTGGGCACGGTGGCTCACACCTGTAATCACAGCACTTTGGGAGGCCAAGGCAGATGGATCACAAGGTCAGGAGTTCAAGACCAGCCTGGCCAAGATGGTGAAACTGTGTCTCTACTAAAAATACAAAAATTAGCTGGGCATGGTGGCAGGTACCTGTAATCCCAGCTACTTGGGAGGTTTAGGCAGGAGAATCACTTGAATCCAGGAGGCAGAGGTTGCAGTGAGCCAAGATGGTGCCACTGCACTCCAGCCTGGGCAACAGAGCAAGACTCCGTCCCAAAAAAAAAAAAAGAAAAAAAGAAGAAGAAGAAGAAAAGAAAAAAGAAACAAGACACAAGAAGAAAGAAGAGCGAGCCAAGGCCTCATAAAACTAAGGAGTCTTGGAGTGGGGATTCAGGAGCCCTGTGCCAGCACCCAACACCGTAAGTTAGGGTTGAGTAAGCAAACTTTATTTCCAAATACTGAAAATATCAGTATCCAAGAAATAAAGGTGGGGGGAGCACTTATAGGATTAATTGCAAGGACTTTTAAAAGACTTTTTTTTCCAAAAATCCAAATAAGGTGTGACTGGGTGACTGGTTTTGCTTTCTTTTTGTTTTGGTTTGGTTTGGTTTGTGGATTTTGTTTGGTTTGTGAATTTTTTGGGGGGCTTTTTGGTTTGGTTTGGTTTTGCCTAAGAATACAGCCAAATATTTTTGTTTAACAGGCAGGAATATGGTATTTAATCTGCTTAAAATGGTAAACTAAGAGCTAAACTTGATAACTGCTAAAATGTTTTACTTTGAAAAATGAGCTATAGGAGGGAACAGCACTCTTACGACCACTTTTAAAAGTCTTACCTTTGAATCCTGGAAATGTAGATAATGAACATGGAGGAAAATCAGAACTAATTATTATTTTTTATTTTTTAGAGATAGGGTCTCACTCTGTCATCCAGGCTGGAGTGCAATGGCACAACCATGACTCACTGCAGCCTCAAACTCCGGGACACAAGTGATTCTCCCACCTCACCCTCCCAAGTAGCTGGGACTACAGGCACATACCATGACACTTGGCTAATTTTTTTTTTTTTTTGATAGAGACAGGGTCTCACTATGTTGCCCAGGCTGGTCTCAAACTCCTGGTTTCAAGTGATCCTCCCACTTCAGCATCCCAAGTGCTGGGATTACAGGCATGAGACACCGCACCTGACCAGAAATAATTTTTAAATTGTAGAGAGTTCATTGAGAACAAATTCTCTTCTCATAACTACAAAAAGAGATTAGTTAATGTTTAATGATTACAATGTTCAGTAATCTAATCCACGTTGGTAGCTTGCTTTTGTTTGCCTCTAGACGACACATTTAAAAACAGAGGTGATTTAAAAGAATTAAGGGAACTAGCCAGTATTGTTTTCTGGCCTTGCCTGGAAGGTGAGGTTCAATTAAGACAAACAAGTTGAAACCCAGAATATCTATCGTATTTGGAACATAATTCAAAGTCATTAAAAGAAAGGTGTTCTTGGTATTCTTGTATTTATAGATCCAATAGTAGAAATTCTATAAATTTGGGGGACTGTGACTTATGTATGTATGTATTTAACAAAATATTTATTGAGACTGTGATGTCAGACACTGGGCTAAAATGATGAGATTAAACAGACTCATCCTGCAACCTAGTGGGTAAGACAAACAGTAATCAAACATATCATTATGAAATAAGATGGGGGCCAGGTGCAGTGGCTCACACCTATAATCACAACACTTTGGGAGGTAGAGGCTGGTGGATCATCTGAGGTCGGGAGTTTGAGACCAGCCTGGCCAACATGGCGAAACGCTGTCTCTACTAAAAATACAAAAATTAGCCAAGCATGGTGGTGGTCACCTGTAATCCCAGCTATTTGGGAGGCTGAGGCATGAGAATTGCTTGAACCCAGGAGGCAGAGATTGCAGTGACCAGAGATCACGACTTTGTACTCCAGCCTGGATGACAGAGTGAGACTCCATCTCAAAAAAAATTAAAAAATAAAATTTTTAAAAAACAAGATGGGTGTGATGGAGAAAGATCTCTATAAGCCAGGTGCTGTTATTGTCCTTCTTTTACCAGTAAGAAAACCAAGACAAAGAAAAGCTAAATGACTTGTCCAAGGTCACACTTCTAATAGATGGTGCAGCTGGGCCTCAAACCCAGGAAAACTGTGTCCTGCGTTCATGCTCTTAATCACTAATACTACTCTTTGGGAAGCTGATGAAAGCATTTTCTCCCCAGAAAAATGGGTTCGCCAAATTGCTTATAATTTCAATTGTTATTCAGATTTACTGGCCTCAATTTACATTATGAAATGAGCTTATAAAATGTTGCTGCATCCTTATATTTAAACAAAATTCATCTTAGCATGAAATCCTGGAATTTTAAGTAGGCTACATTTTCAATGGGAGATAGTCCTACATGGCTTGTTTAGAAGAAGATCACCAAACATCATCCCCAGAATATTAGTACAAAACTTCCCTGAGCTCTGGTAGTGTTATGGGATCCTTGCAGTTGTTGCTTTTCTGGCCAGAAACCTCTGTGGCCAGTGGCGCCTTTGCCCGAGTTTTGCTCAGGCCCGCTGGGCCCACTCGTCCTGGAAGGCTGTATTCGGCTCACGCTACCAGCCTGGATCCCATGCCTCCAAGGGAGAGTGTGAGTCAGGCATAGAACGGCGAGGGGTATGTGAGTGAGCACGGGGTCCGGCCACTGTGCACAGTCAAGACACGCCAGCTGCTCCCGGTGCCAGCATGGGTGCCAGATCTCTGTGAGGCTGCGGCTGAACCAGGTGCAACTCAAGCAGCTTCCTCAGCTGGCACGAGGGAATGCGGTGGCACCCAGAAGCTTGAAGACGCCAGAAACTGCAGGGCCCCAAAGAGGGAGTTACAACCCTGGCTTGGGGAGCTCCCAGGTCTGGGCCCCCTGAGGGGCCACAGCTCTTCTCTCCTCTTCGCCTGCAATGTGGCAAGCAAGGAGCCTGTTTCAGTCCTGTTTGTATTACAGCTCTTTTAGCCTTGCTATTTGGCGAGTCCTGAGTTCTTGTCCTGCATCCAGGAAGAATGAGGTATGTAGACAAGTGGAGGATGAGCACGATGAAGAGGAGGTTTATTGAGCAATGGAACAGCTCAGAGGAGACCCTCAGTGAGCAGCTCCTCTCCATAGCTAGTGTGCCCCAATGAGTGTTCAGCTGTCTAGTTCCTTTCTGTAGCTGGTCCCCCATCATCTCCTCAACTTTTGGCAGAGAGGAGACCCTGGGGTGGGCAGTTCCCCTCTGCAGCTGGTTGTCCTGTCCTCTCCCTATCATCTGTCTTCTCTCTGCCCTCTGTTTGAGTCTGGCTGAGTCTCAGGTTTTTATGGGCCTCAGAGGGGAGGAAGTGTGTGCTGATTGGTTCATGTGTGGGCCCGGGGTAAAGCACCACAAGTTCCCCCTCCAGTCTGTGGGACTGGGGGCCTGGCCCCTAGGCTTCAGGCCCTCCCCAGTTTGAAGGTGGGGCTTTCCTGGGCATCAGCCCCCTTCCACCCAGGAGCCTGTCTTCTGCTGTGGTTCGTGGTGCCCAGGCTGTTCATGCCAAGGAGCACCTGCAGGCCAGCACCCAGCTGTCCTCAGCGCCCCCTCAGCCTCCCTCCCATGCTTGTTGGTGCCCAAAGTCTGGAGGAGAGCAAGGCAGCAGGGGGCTGGTGTGTCAGCACTGCCCCAGGTGTGTGCTCAGCTGGCCAGGCTGCAACAGCCCCCAGGCTTGGCCCTGACTCTGCTCTGAGATTGGAGTGGGGCATCAACAGTGGAGAGAAGCCAGGCAGAGGGAGCAGACACTTGCAACCCTTCACAGGGGCAGGGGACCTTCCCAGGCCCCAGAGAGTGCAGAGATGCTGGGTCTGCAGCCACGGTGGGATGGCAGCAGCTGCTCTCGGGTAGCTCCTGCCTCACCAACTCAGAAGGGGCAGGGTTCCCACTTGTTCCTGGCTCCCACAGACTCTGTGGAGCATGTAGCTCCAGCCAGACAAGAGTGGGCAGCACAGTCAGCTGCCTCTGGGACACAGGGCATGGGGGACACAGGGCACAGGAACCCATGGCCACCACTGCTGCTCCCATAGCTGCTCCTGCTATCACCAGTCGCACCTGCCTGCCACAGCTGGCACCATGGCAGCAGCTGCTCTGGACAGCCCACCACTGCCATCAGTAGATAAGGCACCTTTGCCTGGTTCAATGTGTGGCCGTTTGCCTTGCATGCTTTTATGTCTGTTATTCGATTTAAAAAGTCTTATTTGGCCAGGCGTGGTGACTCACACCTATAATCCCAGCACTTTGGGAGGCCAAGACGGGTGGATCACTTGAGGCCAGGAGATCAAGAAAAGCCTGGCCAACGTGGCGGAACCCTGACTATACCAAAAATACAAAAATTAGCCCGGTGAGATCATGCATGCCTGAAGTCCCAGCTACTTGGGAGGTTGAGGCAGGAGAATCACTTGAACTTGAGATGCTGAGGTTGCAGTGAGCCAAGGTTGTGCCACTGCACTCCAACCTGGGTGACAGAATGAGACCCTGTCTCAAGGAAATGAAAAATAAATAAATAAAAAGTCTTATTTAAGTAATGCTATGGTTGAATATGTCCCCCAAAGTTCGTGTGTTGGAAACTTAATCTGCCATATTCATATGTTGATGGTATTTGTAAGTGGAGCCTTTGGGAGGTAATTTGGGTTAGATGAGGTCAGCAGGGTGGGGCCCCCATTATGGGATTGGTGGCTTCATAAGAAAAGAGAGAGGCCACGTGCAGTGGCTCATGCCTGTAATCCCAGCACTTTGGGAGGCTGAGGCAGGCAGATCACCTGAGGTTGGGAGTTCAAGACCACCCTGGCCAAAATGGTGAAACACCATCTCTACTAAAAACACAAAAATTAGCCAGGTGTGGTGGCACACGCCTATAATCCCAGCTACTTGGGAGGCTAGGACAGGAGAATCATTTGAACCCGAGAGGCAGAGGTTGCAGTGAGCAAAGATCGTGCCACTGTACTCTAGCCTGGGTGACAGAGTGAGACTCCATCTCAAAAAAAAAAAAAAGAGGGAGAGAGAGAGAGATCCAAGTTGACATGCTCCTATTCTCTGTCTCCAAGTGATGCCTCTCACTATGTTATGACACAGCAAAAAGGCCCTCACCACCTGCCAGGCCGTCAACCATGGACTTCGCCTACAGAACTGTAAGAAAAAAATATCTGTTTCTAATAAGTTCCCCAGTCTGTGTTATTCTGTTATAGCAACTCAAAACAGGGTAATACAGACTATTTTTTTTCTGTCTTGGAATCTGCTGTAACTACAGAAACATCTAACACCTGGCACACAGTAGCAAGTGAACAACTAATTTTTGCAAGAGTAAATTACTGGAGCTATATGGTAATCACCATTTTTCAGACATTATCAAGCGAACACTGCTAGCTCAGCTTTCACAGCAGACTCTATAAAAGATTGAGAGAGAGTGAGAGATTGAGATTGTTTGTTGTTGTTCTTTGCTTTTTAAATGGGGTGTAATTTGAAAGCTACAATCATTGTCTAAAATTGGAAATATGATTCCTTTATTTGTCAGTGGTAAAATAAATCTCACTGGGTTTACATTAAATAAAATAAAATAATCCCTAGGTCAAGTTGACTGTAATTTGGTGAAAGGTATTAATCCTGGTAAAGAAACACTGAGTCCCTCAGAAAATGAGTGGAGTGGAAATGAGTACTGGTTAGGAACAGAGGCACAGAGAAGGGAACTCAGCAATGTCCACCTTGCTGATGGGATCTTTAACCTTGTGCTTCAGATAAAGTGCAACTGGTATCTATAATGGAGATTGGGTCCCTCAGGTTTTTGTGGCTTAACAATATCACCCTTCAAAGTCACCCAACAATTGCCTAAGTGGTGAGCTAGTCCTTCTCTGGTGACAGTTGACCATATTGGGATTGCTCTTTCCATTTAAAGTGGAATAAGAATATATTTGGTGTAGGATTAAGAATACCTACATGTATCATATGCTTCTTTTCTTCTTCTTTTTTTTTTTTTTGAGATGGAGTTTCGCTTTTCTCACCCAGGCTGGAGTGCAATGGCACAATCTCGGCTCACTGCAACCTCTGCCTCCCAAGTTCAAGTGATTCTCCTGCCTCAGCCTTGTCAGTAGTTGGGATTACAGGCGCCCACCACCACACCCAGTTTTTTTTTGTATTTTTAGAAGAGATGGGGTTTCGCCATGTTGGCTAGGCTGGTCTCGAACTCCTGACCTCAGGTGATCTTCCTGCCTCGGCCTCCCAAAGTGCTGGGATTACAGGTGTAAGCCACTGCTCCCGGCCAACTTCTGAAAGTATGTAAGGTAGCTTTTACACCTGGATGGCCAGTTGGTATTAAGGACCCTAATATAAAGTTCTTATGAAAATTAAAACCATTAATTTGGATGTCACACAAAAATGAATGAGTGACTGAAACCATTAAAATTAAATAGTGTACATATTGCTTCAAATAAATATTTAATCACCCATTATTCATTTATTCTGTTTGTCAAACACCATTCATTTACATTGCAAAGTTAGTTCTGTAGAGTGTTACATCTTGGATTTTTTTTTTAATTAAGAACTAACTCAACTGGGCGCAGTGGTTCACACCTGTAATCCCAGCACTTTGGGAGGCCAAGGTAGGAGGATTGCTTGAGCCCTAGGGTTCAAGATGAGGCTGGACAACATACGGAGACCCATTTTTATAAACAATAAAAATAATTAGCCGATGTGGTGGCACGCACCTGTGGTCCTAGCTACTCAGGAGGCTGAGGCGAGAGAATCACTTCAGTGTGGGAGGTCAAGGGTGTAGTGGGTCTTGATTGCACCATTGCACTCCAGCCTGGGTGACAGAGGAGAGACGCTGTCTCAAAAACAAACAAACAAACAAAAACTTAATTTCAAAGAAATTGAAATAAGTGGCATTTTTCGGACTATGAAAATGTATAATAATGAGAGCAGAGCTTCAGAAAATTCAATAAAACAAGGGTTTGTTGAGTGCTTAAAGTGAATAAGCACTATGTCAGGTGCTTTGGGGATAACAAGGATGTTCGAAATAGGATTTCTTCCCCAAAGAGGCTGCAATATATAGACCAAAAGTGGATATAAATGAGTAAGAACAGATCATAATAAATGAAATAATGGAAATACAAATGAGAAGCTACTGACTGGAGAAAAGGAAGAAATTAATTTAAAATATGAAGTATTGAGAAGGATTCATGGAATGAGATGGGTTTGAACTCTAATGCAAAAGAGAAGGAAAAAGAGTAGCCTTTAGTTGCAAGTAATTTTTGAAGAAGGGCACATGCATGATAGATGCTTTAAGCTCTACTATATATAAAAGGTCTTTCTATTGCTCATATACATGAGCAACTAGTTGGCTGTCTATGAAATTCTTTTATTTTTAATTTATTTTTTGTAGAGATAGAGTCTGGCTATGTTGAACTCACAGCTTCAATCAATCCTCTCTGCCTTAGCCTCTCAAAATGTTGAGATTACAGGCGTGAGCCACCATGCCTGGCCCTTCTAAATTCCTGAATGACAACCTTTTGCCTCTCAAAACTGATTGCTGTGTTATGATCACAACTTGTTCCCCTCAAAGTTTTTTTTAAAACAGCTTTATGGAGATGCAATTAACATACCATGTAAAGTGTACAGTGCATTGGGTTTTGTTACGTTACATTATTATTTTTATTATGGTAAATTATTTATAACATAAAATTTACCTTTTAACTATTGTTTAAATTTATTTTTATTTTTTTTTAGAGACAGAGACTCGCAATGTTTCCCAGGCTGGACTCGAACTCCTGGGCTCAAGTGATCCTCTTGCCTCAGCCTCTTGAACAGTTGGGGCTACTATTTTTAAGTACACAATTCAGTGACGTTAATTATATTCACAATGTTGTGCGACCATCGCTATTTAGTCCCAAAATTTTTCACCACCCCAGACAGAAACTCTGTAAGAAGAAAGCAATAACTCCTTACCCCAGCCCCTGGTAAATCGCTATTCTACTTTCTGTCTTTATGAATTTGCCTGTTCTAGGTACCTCATATAAGTGGAATCACACAGTATTTGTCCTTTGGTGTCTGGCTTATTGCACTTAGCATAACATAATGTTTTCAAGGTTCATGCATGTTGTAGGATGTATCAGAACTTTATTTCTTTTTATGGACTTACCTTCTGTCAATCTATTTCTGTACTTACCTTCTCTCTTCTGGTTCTATCAAATTATTGAAAGTGGAGTACTGAAGTCTCCAACTATTATTGTAGAACTGTCTATTTTTCCCTTCAATTCTGTTCATTTTTGCTTTATATATTTTAGGGCACCTTTGTTAAGTATCTTTATGTTTATAATTGTTATATCTTGTTGCTGTATTGGCACTTCTATCAATATATAATGTCCTTCTTTGGCTCTTATAAACTTTTTAAACATAAAGTACATTTTTCCTGACAGTAATGGAGCCATCCCAGCTCTTTTTTGGCTACTATTTGCATGAAACATCTTTTTCCATCCTCTTTGTGTCCTTATATCTAAAATGAGTCTCTTGTAGATAGTATATACACAGATATACTATCCTTACTTACTTTCTTACCCTTTTCTTACTATATCCCGTTTTCTTACTCAATCTACCAATCTGTCTTTTAATAGGAGAGCTTAATCCATTTATGTTTAATATGATTACTGATAAGGCAGGAACAAATATTCCTGCCCTTTAGCTATTTGTTTTTTGTGCATCTTATGTGTTTTTTGTTCTTCAATTCCTCCATTACTGTTATTTTTGTATTTAGTTACTTTTTGTGGTGTACCATTTTTATTCCCTTCTTTTCTGTATATTTTTAGTTGCTTTTTTAGTGGTTACCTTGGTGGTTACAATTCGCATCTTAAACTTATAACCATTTAGTTTGAACAATACCAACTTAGTTTCAATAGTATACACCCTGCTCCTGTACATCTTTGTCCCTTCTTTTTTATATTGTTATTTTCAGAGACTACATCTTTATAGGTTGCATGCCTACTAACATTCATAATTATTATTTGTATATCATTTGCCTTTTCAATCACCTAGGAAAAAGAGAAGCTACAAAGCAAACCAAAAGTACAAAAATACAGGCATTTGTATTTTATACATACCTATGAAATTACCTGTCCTAGTGTTCTTTACTTTTTTCTCGTATCTTCAAGTTACTGTCTACTGTCCTTTCATTTCAGCCTGAAGGACTCCATTTAGTATTTCTTGTAGGGCATACATACTGCTATTTGTGTATCTGGAACAATTTTATTTCCAGATAAACTTGCATTCTTTTTATGTTTTTTTTTTTTTCGAGATAGAGTTTCACTCTGTTGCCCAGGCTGGAGTGCAGTGGTGCAATCTTGGCTCACTGCAACCTCTTCCTCTTGGGTTCAAGTGATTCTCCTGCCTCAGCCTACCGAGTCGCTGGGATTACAGGCATACACCAGCACGTCTGGCTAATTTTTGTATTTTAAGTAGAGATGGGGTTTCACCATGTTGCCCAGACTGATCTTGAACTCCTGACCCAGGTGATCCACCTGCCTTGGCCTCCCAAAGTGCTAGGATTACAGGCATGAGCCACCTCGCCCAGCCTAAACTTGTATTCTTGAAGTATCATTTTGCCACATGTGGAATTCTTGGTTGACAGTTTTTTTCTTTCATGACTTTAAATTCGTCATCCACCTGCCTCTGGCTCATATGGTTCCTGATGAGAAATCATCTGTTAATCTTATTGAAGATTCTTTGTACTTGACTCTTAGTTTCTCTCTTGCTGCTTTCAAAATTCTCTCTTTGTGTTCAGGTTTCAACCATTTAACTACAATGTGTCTCACTGTGGATCCCTTTCAGTTTATCTTGCTCAGAATTTGTTGAGCTCCTTTCATGTGTATATTCATGTCTTTCATCAGATTAAGACCGATTTTGGCCATTATTTCATAAAATATGTTTTTCTACCCTCTTTTCCCTTCTCCTTCTAAAATTCCTATAATGTATATGTTGGCACACTTGATGGTGTCTGATGTGGTTAGGCTTTGTGTCCCCACCCAAATCTCATCTCGAACTGTAATCCCCAGGTGTTGCAGGAGGAACCTAGTGGGAGGTGATTGGATTATGGGGGCAGTTTCCTCCATGCTGTTCTCATGATAGTGAGTGAGTTCTCATGAGATCTGATGGTTTTATAAGTGTTTGGCAAGTTCCTCCTTCGCTCACTCTTCTCTCTCCTGCCATCTTATGAAGAAGGTGACTGCTTCCTCTTCCACCATGATTGTAAGTTTCCCAAGGCCTCCCCAGCCATGAAGAATGGTGAGTCAATTAAACCTCTTTTCTTTATAAATTACCCAGTCTTGGGCAATTCTTTATAGCAGTGTGAGAACAAACTGGTGTCCAACAGTTCTCTCAGACGTGGTTCAATTTTTTTTTTTTAAACCATGTTCTCCTCTGACAGGATAATATCAAATTTCTTAAGTTCCAGTTTGTCGATCCTTTCTTCTGCCTGCTCAAATCTGTTGAGTCCTTGTAGTAATTTTTAAATATCAGTTATTATAACTTTCAGCTCCAGAATTTCTGGTTGGTTCATTTTTATAATTTCTATCTCTTTATTGGTATTCTCATTTTATTGCTATTTTCATTGTCCATACATCACTTTTCTGATCTTTAGTTCTTTGCCCATGGTTTCCATTAGCTCATTGAACATATTTAAGACCATTGATTTAACATCTTGGACCAATAATTCCAATGTCTAGACTTCTTCAGGGATGTCTTCTGTCAAATTCTTTATTTCCTATGAATGGGTCATACTTTCTTGGTTCTTATATGTTTTGTCTTTTTTTTTTTTTTTTTTGAAATTGAGAACTGGACATTCTGAGTATTGTGTTGTAGTGACTCTGGAAATATAATTCTCCCACTCCTCAGAGATTGCAAGGTTTTCTTTGTTAAGGACTAGAGCCATCCTTTTGTGACCCTTTCAAATTATTGTTGCAAATTGAATATTCCTTGTTGTATGTGGTAACTGCAGTTTCTCTTCATTGTCTCGTCAGTCAACTAGTGACCTTACAAACATTTCCTTAAGTGTCTGGTTCTCAAAATAGGCAAAATAGATTATGCCTCTTGAAACTCCTCTTCAGTTCCTGTAGGTTGAAACAATGGATGACCTCTGTGCTGGCCCTTTAGCAATCAGCAATCAAAACACACAGCCCTGATTTTTGGAGGGCAAGGTTCTTATTGCCCACCTGGCTCCAGCAAGCCACACCAAGAATGCTTGCTGCCATCCCTTCAGGTGCCTGTTGCAGGTTTAGGGGATAGGAGATGGTAGTGGCTACTGCTGGAAAGCTAAAATTTTCTGAAATTTACCAGTCTCTTTATCCAGCACTCTCTCCTGGGTGCTGCATGTGTTCTACTAGAACCAGAATTCCAAAATACAGTTGATCTTTAATCAACATGGGAGTCAGGGGCACTGACCTCCCATGCAGTTGAAAATCTACATGTAACTTTTGACTCCCCCAAACTTAACCACTGATAGTCTACTGTTGACCAGAAGCCTTACTGATAAAAAAGCATCCAATTAACACATATAATACATATGTATTCTTACAATAAAGTAAGTTAGAGAAAAGAAAATGTTATTAAGGAAATCATAAGGAAGAGAAAATATATTTCCTATTCATTAAATGAAACTGGATCATCATAATGGTCTTCATACTTGTCATCTTCACGTTGAATAGGTTGAGGAGGAGGAGAAAGAGGAGGGGCCGATCTTACTTCCTCAGGAGTGGCAAAAGTGGAAGAAAATCCCTGAATAAGTGGATCTACGGTTCAAATTTGTGTTGTTAAAGGGTCAACTGTAGTTGTTTCAGATAGCCTCTGCCAGTTGACTTGTTGCTTTGGTGGAGGGACAGATGCCTGGACTTCCATTCCAACATCTCCCGACATGTGTGTTGTATTTTGGCATTTAATATGAAAGAAGAGAAATATGAACCTAGAATAATTTGTATTCTTTTGTGGATTATCTTTTTTTCTCTTTCTCACTTTTTCTGCCTGGTTAATTGTAGATTTTTTCCTTCTTTACCTTTATACATTTTAAAGGCAGCATGTATCTGGGTGTTTATTTTAATTCATTTTTTCTAGTTCATTGCATGTCCTTTTGCCTTGCATACTTAAATCTTTTATTCAGTTCAAGCAAGTCTTATTTCATAATATCTTCAATTACTGCTTCTGTTCCATCTATACTCTTACTTCCTCTAAAATAATTATTTTGGGTTTTTAAAAATTTAGGTTAGCTCTCTGTTTCTTATTTCTATTTTTTGCAAAACAATTTTTGTCTTTTAAAAAGCCATTTCCGGCGGGGCGCGGTGGCTCACGCCTGTAATCCCAGCACTTTGGGAGGCCGAGGCGGGCGGATCACGAGGTCAGGAGATCGAGACCATCCCGGCTAAAACGGTGAAACCCCGTCTCTACTAAAAATACAAAAAATTAGCCGGGCGTGGTGGCGGGCGCCTGTAGTCCCAGCTACTCGGGAGGCTGAGGCAGGAGAATGGCGTGAACCCGGGAGGCGGAGCTTGCAGTGAGCCGAGATCCCGCCACTGCACTCCAGCCTGGGCGGCAGAGCGAGACTCCGTCTCAAAAAAAAAAAAAAAAAAAAAAGCCATTTCCAAATGCATATTTTAGTTCTGCTGTTGCAACATTAGTTTCCTTTCATACCTATCCTTTTTTTATGTCAGCGCTTTAAAAAAACCTTTCATCTTAATTATTTTCAACTCTTTATGATTCTTCCAAATGGCTTTCTGGCTCCTCTTCCATGTATTTTCGTAGTCTAGGATTACTTTTTCTGTGGTTCCTATATTATTTTATTTCATTGAGTTTAAGACCCTTTGGTTTGTGCTTTAAAAAAAAAATCTTACTAACGGGGCACGGTGCCTCACGCCTGTAATTCCAGCACTTTGGGAGGCCGAGGTGGATGGATCATGAGGTCAGGAGATCAAGACCAGCCTGGTCAGCATGGTGAAATCCCTTCTCTACTAAAAATACAAAAAAATTAGCCAGCCATGGTGGCACGCGCCTGTAGTCCCAGCTACTTGGGAGGCTGAGGCAGGAGAATCGCTTGAACCAGGGAGTCGGAGGTTGCAGTGAGCCGAGATTGTGCCACTGCACTCCAGCCTGGCAATAGAGCGAGACTCCGTCTCAAACAAAACAGAACAAAACAAAACTTACTGAAAGTTATCAACAGAAGATTTCACATAACTGTGTCATGACTGACACCTGCCTAACAGCAATTTAAGACAGCATCAATTATAAGATGCATTCAGATTACAGAGATAGTAAAAATGGAAAAACCAAACAAATTAAAATTGGATCATAGAATAGAAACAGTGTGCCTAATTTTCAGAGTGGATATCTTTCTCTGAATTAATCAAGATTGTATTATCATTCTCTTTTACTGCCATTTCTTTCATAAGCTTTATTTTGTTTATTCTTTTAAAATTTATTAGTGAGGGACACCATAGCATCAAAAGATCTTCCCTTTTGGAAATGGGCTCATGTGGGTTCAAATTAGAGCTCCGCTTCTTACTGTGTGACTAGAGTAGTTTGGGTATAGGCTAGGCTGTTATGCAAAGAAACCCCAAAATATTGGGGTTTAGGTAAATCAGGAATTTTTTTTCTCATATAAGAGTCCAAAGGTGAGCAGTCCACTACTGATGGAACAAGTCTGCCATCCTCAATATCATAAGAATGTTTATATTGACTTCCGTAATACTGCTGGCCATCCAAGTATAAACGCTACCTCAAATACTTTTTAAAGTATTTATAGTAGAAATATAAATACTTAACAACAAAATTAAGCATATGTTTTAATAAAAGATACATCGTTATCTATTGGGTAGCACAATCTATTAGGAGTTAGTTGAGATCAGCAGACAGAAAAATACATAACAGCATTACATGATGAGTATCACCATGTGATTTATTTTGGGGTAAATCTACATGCTTAAGAAATAAGTAATGTAATTATTATACTTTTCTGTAATATAAAGAATCTTTAGCACACTCTGGCTGTCCCTCTGGGTCCCAAAGTACCCTTCAAGACAGGATGACTTTTTGAGTTCTCATTTACCAGCCATGCTAGCAACTATATGCAGGATGCTTGAGAGGAGATTGAGGTTGAGAATCCAGTAGGTGGTGCTCTCAACAATTGGTACAGAGTGACCTCAACAGGATTCCATTTGGGAGTCATACGGCTCAGTCTTCACTGTCCACGTCTCCTAATTCTTGACCCTCAGCAAGCAATAGTAGGCCCCAGTGAAAATGAGAAAGGTGTGCTCAGAAATTTTTGAATCCAAACTTAATATCAAAGTTCAGGGTGTCTTCTTTTTGTTTAATTCCGTTTCGCTATACGACTAAGGTATTCAGGAAAAGGCATGCTGAATGAAAAATATTGTTCATTTCACAAGTATAGGTTTCAGACAGGTTTATCAGAGTGCAGATAGGTATGGGGCACAAAAATTCTAACTGTGAAATGAAAAGGCTAACAAATAGCCTTTTTGTGTGTCAAGTGTGGGTGATAAGAAGAGAATTTAAGCCGGGCGCAGTGGCTCGCGCCTGTAATCCTAGCACTTTAGGAGGCCGAAGCGAGCGGATTGCCTGAGCTCAAGAGTTTGAGACCAGCCTGGGCAACAAGGTGAAACCCTGTCTCTACTAAAATACAAAAAATTAGCTGGGTGTGGCGGCGTGCTCCTGTAGTCCCAGCTACTCGGGAGGCTGAGGTAGGAGAATTGCTTGAACCGGGGAGGCGGAGGTTGCAGTGAGCCAAGATTACACCACTGCACCCCAGCCTGGGTGACAGAGCGAGACACCGTCTCCATTAAAAAAAAAAAAAAAGAGAGAGAATTTAAGCAGTTAAGAGACAGATCCAGTATTAGTTAATATCAACTTTCAAAAGGAGTCTATGTCAATCCAGTTCACTTTAGTCAAAGAAGATAAGACTAGTTGCGGACACTAAATTTCCAATTAGGATTGGAAGAATAAGCCAAAGTATCTTCTCTGTTCACCGTAGGCCAGGCCCTTATCTCAAATTTGGAATATTTCAGCAGCCTCCTCACTGAGTATGTCACTTTGTTGTCAGCAGATCTTTGGATAATTGTTATCACTATGCATGAAAGAATTCTGTGTTAAAACAGCCTTAGCACTCTATGGGGGTGGAAGGTGGGTGCTGTTGGTGTTTCTCTGCCTCTTTCCTGGTCACTTCATCTGCCCACTGCTCACTGTCTAACCAGCCCTCCTATAACACTTCTCATCAGGCACCTCCTTTATTCGCCAGTCAGCCCTCCTCCTTTCTGGCCACAATCTACTTTGAGGAAGTTGGCAGTGAGCTCAGAAGCATATATCCGTCTGCTCCACCAATGAGCTGACGTAGAGACAACTCATGCCCAGGAGCCGTGGTCTTTGGGAAGTTACTGGGGGCCTAAGCCTTGGAACAAAAAAAAAGGCAAACAAGCTTTGGCTAGTGGTGGGCATTGGCATGAGGCAGGTGCAAGCACCAACTGAGGCCATGTGTCCTTTGCCAAAGAAAACATACGTAGAGTAAGTTTAGATGTTATCATTCATTCAACAATGATTTATTGAGTACCTGCTGATGTAAGCGTTGTGATAAGCAGTGAGGATTCATGGATATGTAAAGCATGATCCCTGTCCTTAAAGAACTTGCCATCTATCAGGGGTATGGGCCAAAGGAAACCTTCCCTTTTGCACACTGAATGTTAGCTGAAAACTGAAAAAAAGATTAATAGGAGAAAAGACCTTTTAAATTTTACTTTAATGTGCATTGCACAGGGGAATCACAGAATTATTACCCAGTAATCCAGTGGGCACTCCAGATGCTTCTTCTTAGGGGAAGGAAGGGGAGATAAGGGAAATGTGGCGATTTGGGGGATTGTAAGTGATTTTTAGGGGGAAATGAATGGGCCAGGAAAACATAGAATGGCCTGGGACAAAGTCTATTGGACCCTCAGAGCAGACAATGGCTGGTAAATTATTCTCTTGGAAATGGGACCAAAGTAGAAGGCTATGATTTGTGACAAAAGTCTGTCCAGGTGTGTTGACAGAGTTCAGTCTTTCTTCCTGTGATATAAGTAGATGAAAACTGAGGGAAGGAACTAGATGTCATTGTTTTCTTCTTTGGCAGGTCCAGACCTCAGGCAGATAAGGGAACTGCAGGAAACAGCCTCTTTCAGCATCTGCTGGTGTCTAAGGGCCTTTCATTTAAAATAATCAGCGTACCTACCAGGGTTCCATATTCTGGGTATCAGTTTCTGAGGCCCAACACAGGGATAAAAAACTTCCAGGCCGGGTGTGGTGGCTCACGCCTGTAATCCCAGCACTTTGGGAGGCCGAGGCGGGCGGATCACTTGAGGTCAGAAGTTCGAGACCAGCCTGGCCAACATGGTGAAACCCCATCTCCACTAAAAATACAAAAATTAGCCCAGTATGGTGGTGGGTGCCTGTAATCCCAGCTACTTGGGAGGCTGAAGTGGGAGAATCTCTTGAACTGGGGAGGCGGAGGTTGCAGTGAGGAGAGATTGCACCACTGCACTCCAGCCGGGGCGACACAGTGAGATGAGACTCTGTCCCAAAAAAAAGAACTTCCAATTTAGTAATCTTGTTGGACACTAGACTGTTAAGGGAAAACTAGTGGGTTGGTGGGCTGCATTGTCTGAAAGACTTGGTTCATCTCTGATGCCCAGGCAGTTAAGTAACCTGTTTTACTGTTAACTCTTATAATAACTCTCATAATAGTATTGAATGTGTACATGTGTCAGGACATAAATAGAATGTAAATTTAATGTTTAAATTTAAATCCAGAGAACCGAAGGGCTTTCATACATCTGAAATAAACAAATAGTCTGCTTTTTATGTGTTTATTACTTAAATGAATATTCCAACAGTCTAGGAATTCATTTGGTTTTGAAAATTTTATTTATATAGTATTTCCATTTAATATTTTTTCCCGCAGTGGTCATTTTTTCTACCTATTTTTTTCTATGCCATTAAGTATGGAACATTTCATGCATAAAACAGAGTTGGGTGATTTAGACACCTGACCCTATGGGAAAAAAATGTGGATTTTTGATATGTTGGAGGATGGCTCCCACAGTCTACACTTGGGAAGGAAGTGGATGTGTTCTGTGTTTGGTTTTAGAATAAGAGTCAGAATCACTTACATTTAAAATTTATCTTGGGATAATGGATAAGAACAGTCTTAGCTGGGCGTGGTGGCTCACACATGTAATCTCAGCACTTTGAGACTCTGAGGTGGGAGGATCTCTTGAGCCCAGGAGGTCAAGGCTGCAGTGAGCAGTGTTCACAGCACTGTACTCCAGCCTGGGTGACAGAGCGAGAACTTGTCTCAAAAAAAAAATAATTAAAAAAAAAAAAAGAGTAGTCTTAGATATCAGAGATGTGCTTTCTTGTCCTGACTTTGTTGCCAACTAGCTGCATGACCAGCACTTACCCATGATTGTCTCAGTTTTCTAACGAATAAGGATAATAATATTTAGCTCAAGGGGACTGCTGTGAGGAGCAATTGTGATAATGTGTGTCTCTTGTCCTTTCTGAGCCTCAGTTTATCAAATGAAGGAATTTGGATGAGACTATCTCTGGGACATAATTTCCTGAAATCTTGATAATACCTTTAGATAGGTATTTCCCCAAATGCGGTTCACAGAAGGATTTTAGATACGTAGAAGATAATTTAATTATTAGTTATGGCAGACATGTGCTCAGGGTGTGTGCGCAAGGACTGGAGTTGGATTTGCTTGGCCTCACACAAACCCCGGCTGCCTGTGTACCATGTCCCACAGCTTTGCAGAATTACCCAAAAGAAGGAGGACAATGAACAATTTTAGGATAACCATTTGGGGGCTGTCAGATTTAGGAAAAGGCAATAAAGGTTGAATTGCATAGCAACTACTTGGAGCCCACACAGCTCCCCACTGGGATTCAGACACGAGACTCACTCAGCATATGAGCTTCCATGGGAATGCTGAAGTAGACCCCTTAACGGGAGGAGAGAGCTGTGTTCTGGGACCGCTGTGTACACCTCCTGCTCCCACTGTGACACCCACCGCAGTGCAAGGAAGGAACAGACAGTAGCCTTAACTCTTGTGGTCAGTTTCTCAGGCTCAGGGGCTGTTCCTTGGCAGGCTAAAGCTGTACAGTCTGAGACCAGGAATATTCTGCAGCAGCGAAGGCACTGCAGCAAACAATGGGGAAAGGACACCACACAGGTAGGAGATACCTATGTATTTATTTTTATTATAGTTACCTTCTATTTATGGAAAAGTAACTTTGCTTTCCCACTTACAATAATGATACATTTTCTTTTCTTCTTTTCTTGAGACAGAATCTTGCTCTGTTGCCTAGGCTGGAATGCAGTGGCACCATCTTGGCCGGGCTGTTCTCGAACTCCTGGCCTCAAGTGATCCACCTGCCTTGACCTCCCAAAGTGCTGGGATTACAGGCATGAGCCACTGCACCCAGGCAGATTTTCTGTTTTTGATATACGAAGTTAACTTAAAATAAAAATATTAAGAATACTGGGTAAAACATTGTGGTAGTGTACCAGAATGATTGGAGTTTGGGAAACACTGACACATTGTTTGATTGGATTGAATATCACTTGGCAAGTCTATTGAAGAGGAAAGGATCTTCAGGCAAATTCTGGAGATGGGAAAACAGGCAAAAACAACAAACAGGGCAGTAGTCTAGTCTATGGAACACAAAGCCAAGGAGGAGGAATGCAGGAGAAAATGAATCTGTGACCACAGAAAGAAGCAGAAAGTGAGAGGTCAAAGGGAAAATCAAAGGCAGCTTTTTCACACTGTGAAGAACCAAGTAGCTCAGTAACCTGGGGCAGCAAGCCTTGAGGCTGCCCAGATACTGACATCCAGCAAGAGGAGGGCTGATTGAGCTAGGGGACCCAGGGGGAAGAGAGTCTAGGCGTTATCTGAGAATGACAGAACAGGCAAGAAAACAATGAAGCTGTGAAATGTGAAGCCATTTTTGTGTGTGTGTAATTGAAAACAAAAAAAGGTACTATTGTTAAGCCTAGGAAAATTTGTTTATGAAACATGAGAAAATCCTCATTAGAACAGCCCTGAAACCCCTAACATACTCCATACTCTAAAGTGGCATTCTCTCTAATGCTCCCTTTAGTAGAAAGGAATTGACACATGTTCTTCTATCTCCACCAAGCTATGAAAACAGGTCTCAGCCTTTGTTCACACACTTTTACTTTTCCAGCCTGAGGTCCACACACATAGCCACAGTGCAGGGTGCCTCCAAGGGCATTTTCCATGGAGGATAAGGATAATTTGATTCACCAGGGCTCTGCAATCACAATTCCTTAGGCTAACATGCAAGCAAGAGTACCAGGCTGAAGTTCGTTTGTCATGACATGCCAGTATAACCAGCATCTCAGACACACTGGGTTCCTGGGGATCAAAAAAGAAAAATGACAAGATGTGAGGCAGTGCTGGCCAGGACCCTCCCCGTCGATGTTATCTGTAAATCTCATGAGAAAGCATTGCAGGACGGGCACAGTGGCTCACGCCTGTAATCCCGGCACTTTGGGAGGCCAAGGCAGGCGGATCGCCTGAGATCAGGAGTTCGAGACCAGCCTGGCCAACATGGTGAAACCCCGTATCTACTAAAAATACAAAAATTAGCCAGGTGTGGTGGTGGGCACCTGTAATCCAGCTACTTGGGAGGCTGAGGCAGGAGAATCGCTTGAACCTGGGAGACGGAGGTTGCAATGAGCTGAGATCACACCACTGCACTCCAGCCTGGGCGACAGAGCAAGACTCCTCAAAAAAAAAAAAAAGAAAGAAAGAAAGAAAGAAAGCATTGCAATGGAAGGTGCAAGTGGGGGATAAGACATTTGGCATACTTGGTCTTTAAGACCCATACCACGTGTTGTCTCTTTCATTAAACAAAAAATGTTCATAAACTATATTAAAGAGAACAAAAGGGTGTAGGTGGGGAAAGGGAAAGAATCTTGACCCCAGAGACATAGATACTCTTCAACAGCAAAACTGCTCACTTTGCTTTGATGGGAGTCAGATGGGTACTGAAGGAAAACTGTCTAGAAGAGAGGAATAAAGCATGTGAAGAGAAAACAAAGAGTGTCTTAAAATTGTGTTTAAACGTTCTGCAGTGCATGTAAAAATGAGTGAATGAATGAGTTGAATTTAGTACAAAATGTCATTATCTTCCATGATGAAAATGCACATAAATATCCATTGAGAGGGAAAAAAATGTGAAAATGTTAATAAAATCTAAAATATCATCAGTGTAGCTAGACAAGCTATGCTAAGTACACAACCAGGTCAGGAAGCTGTTGAGGTTAATTCTGTATTACTTAGGGTACAGCTGAGCTACTGTAACAGAGACCCTGAGTAGAGTGGCTTAAAGAACATACAAGTTGGTTTCTCTTTCCACATGGCAGTGTTGGGGTGAGCCAGCAGGGGCCAGCTATTCCTCACAGTCCAATAGGAACTGTGTTTCTTCTAAGCTGTAGTGGTGCCATCTCCTCAGACCTACCAAGTGACCACTAATTACACCTGCTGTTTTTCTCTGAAGTACTCCTTGTTTAATCCAATATAATCAGGAAGAGTTGGGGGAAATTGTTCATTTCAATACATCTTTGCTGATACTTTAAAAAATAATAAAATGCTTTTATATTATCATGTGGCTTAATTATATTTTCATCAAAACTTTGGAGCTGCAGATTTAGAAAACTGAAAAAATGGAAGACATCCCCCATGTAGCCTAATTACCAGTCTGTCTAAACAATTAGCTAGATTAGCCTGTCAGTTAAAAAAAAAAAAAAAAAAAAAAAACTGACTTCATTTTATGATTAAAATAAGCTGCTAACACATTTTGAGGAATAGTATTAAAACCACTGAAAAATAAATAATGCAACAACTTTTATAAAAGCAGTTAAGTCCAGATTAAAATGATGTTGTGCTAATATAATTAAACTTTTCACTATGTAAGTCTGTCTTTCTCATTTATTTATGAAATATATGTAGCTAATCCCAGCACTTTGGGAGGCCGAGGCAGGCAGATCATTTGAGGTCAGGAATTCAAGACCAGCCTGGCCAACACGATGAAACCCCATCTCTACTGAGAATAGAAAAATTAGCCATGTGGGGTGGTGCGTGCCTGTAATCCCACCTCCTTGGGAGACTGAGGCATGAGAATCGCTTGAACCCAGGAGACAGAGGTTGCATTGAGACGAGATTGCACCGCACTCCAACCTGGGCAACAGAGAGAGACTCCACTTAAAAAAAAAGGAAATATATGTAGCTACAATTTTAAGTTATTCATGAAGAAAGGAGGATGCTAAAAAGAGTGGTATTCTTTTGGAAAACATGCATGCGTATGTGTAAAAATCTTGTATCAAATTCAGAAATAATTCCATTATACCATTAGTTTTGTTGGACATACTAATAAAAAGTCTTTCCAGTGTATTTAAGGAAAGAGTGTAGACTGCTACAAATTAATTGGCCTGGTATGTAGTAAAAGTTTTATTTTTGGCTAATATGAATTAGAAGATACCACTTTAAGAGATGAAATAAAATCAAGATTGTAATTGGAATATTTTATGTGCTTTGATAAATATGTTTTGAGAACTTTCTTGTATAAGACACGCCAAATCTAAAATAAATCATGTAAAAAATTCCCGCAGGTTTTTTGTTTTTTGAGACAAGCTTTCACTCCGTCACCCAGGCAGGCTGGAGTGCAGTGGCATGGTCACGGTTCACTGCCACCTTGACCTCCCTGGGCTCAAGCAATCCTCCCACCCCCACCTCCCGAGTAGCTGGGAGTATGGGCATATGCTACCATGCCCAGCTAATCTTTTTGCATTTTTGTACAGATGAAGTTTCACCATGTTGCCCAGGCTGGTCTCGAACTCCTGAACCCAAGCAATCCACCCAACTCAGCCTCCCAAAGTGCTGGGATTACAGGTGTAAGCCACCGTACCTGGCCACTGCAGGTTTTATCTATAAAAACCTGAACACTATTGTGGTCTCAGAAGCACACTAGCCTATGCTGTTTGGTTGTCCAATGGTGATCGTCTAATTGAATAGCTAAAAAGAACTGCCTATGTTTAAATACATTTTTAAAAAGCCATTTTGATGGTTAATATCTCTTGTTGATGCTCTGGGATTTTCTGTTACTAATCTCCCTCATGAGCAATTCATGCTTGTGACAATAACTGAGGGATAGAAAAGGTAAAGTAAGCAAAACCTGGTATCACAGCCACCCCAATCCTTTATAATACATATATCTGATTTCAGAACCATAATACCATTTCGTTGTTTATACTAAGTATGCATATAATCTCCTTTTTCTCCCGTCTACAACTATTTACAGAATCTTTCTCCTCTGGTAGCTTGTCTTGCAAAGACTGTTAAATAAAGGTTAGCCTAAATCTGCCTCCTGACATATTTTAAGTTCAGCCTAAAGGTTTTTCCATACACAGTGAACTGTAACCTCACTGGATGTGTAAACAGATTGTAACCTACTTTTGTACCGATCACCAAGTTTTGGTGAATGAAAGGCAGCCAACTGTTCAAATTGTTTACATAAGGCAAACACCAAGCTGTAACCAATCCAGCAGTTTCTGCGCCTCACTTTCCCCCCTCAGTCCCCAAGTCCTCTCATGCAGCAGCACCAGAGCTGCTCTGTACCTGTTCTGATTCAGGGGCTGCCCAAGTCACAAATTGTTCTTTGTTCAACTCAACTCTGTTAAATTTGTCTGAAGTTTTTCTTTTAACAAGACCATGACAATTGGTTTTCTTATATCTTATATATCTTATATCTTATATTGGCTTTTTAATATCTGCCACTGTGGTTTCTTGGAAGTTCCCAGCCATGCAAAAGGATTTGCGAGTATGCCTTGGTGTACTCCCAGACATTCCATCCATTTTACAACAAGGAGGTCTGCACTGCTGGGGAGGTAACTCCTAAAAGACTTAAATCCCAGAGGGAATTCATGGCCAGGGGTCACTGACAAATCGCAACTCCTAGCACCTTAAAAAGAATAACGGTCTGTCAGTTGCTTAAGGATTGAGTTATTAATTAATGAATCTAAAAAGGAAAAACGACGCTGTCTTCTCTGCTGACTCCATCTGAAATATGAAAATGTCTCAGAGCAGTATAATTATTGTGTAGGCTCCAGGGAACCCGAAAGAGCTCAAGGACACAGTGGGAACTCAGTGTCTTCTTGTCAAATAATCCAGGGAAGCTGTGGGTGAATCTTTGTCAGCCTGGTAACAACTAGCAACTTCTGAAAATACATGTTTCTGACTCCGTATCACTTAGATTTGTTTCCTTTCATATGAAGCCTGTAAAGAGCTCATTTCCAGCTTATTTCCATGAACATAGATGAATCTGGTATACAGCAGGAATGAATACCAAGCCAAATGCTCTAATTTAAAACTCAGTTATGTCAAGCATTTCTGTATTACCAACCAGATGGCACAAGGGTTTGCCTGGCCATTTGTATTGCTCAACTATTAACCTTGCCAGTAAGGTCTTCTCTAATCATTTTATTAGACTTTTTTTCTTTTTTTTTTTTTTTGAGATGGAGTCTTGCTCTGTTGCCCAGGCTGGAGTGCAATGGCACTATCTCAGCTCACTGCAAACTCCACCTCCCAGGTTCAAACGATTCTCCTGCCTCAGCCTCCCGAGTAGCTGGGACTACAGACGCACACCATCAAATCCGGCTAATTTTTGAATTTTCAGTAGAGACGGGGTTTCACCATGTTGGCCAGGATGGTCTCGATCTCTTGACCTCATGATCTGCCTGCCTTGGCCTCCCAACATGCTGGGATTACAGGCGTGAGCCACCACGCTTGGCCGTTTTAGACTCTTGATTCTTAATGACCTTTCCTTTGCCTCTAATCCACGGGTTCTCATGGGGGGTTATTAGAAATTCCATGGAGTTTTAAAAAACTGCAGATGTCCAAGTCTTACCTAGACCTTCACAGCTTGAGACTCTGGGATTAGGGCTGAGTATGCATACATTTTAGAAAATATTTACTGAGGATTCTGAAGTGATCTCTTGGTTAAAAATTCCTTCCTAATCTATTCATCACTGATTTTTTTTTTTTTTTTTTTTTTTTTGAGATGGAGTTTCACTCTTGTTGCCCAGGCTGGTAGTGCAATGGCTCCATCTCGGCTCACTGCAATCTCCACCTCTTGGGTTCAAGTGATTCTCCTGCCTTAGCTGCTGAGTAGCTGGGATTACAGGCATGCAACCAAACCCGGCTAATTTTTGTATTTTTAGTAGACATGGGTTTTTGCCATGTTGGCCAGGCTGGTCTTGAACTCCTGATCTCAAGTGATCCGCCCACCTTGGCCTCTCAAAGTACTGGGATTACAGGTGTGTGCCACCATGCCCCGGGCCATCCATCATTCACTTCTAAATGGTTCATTGTTAATTCTCCATCTTATGTTCACCCTCTACCCAGTAAGCCTGTCTCTAATTCTTTAAGGGAGGCAAATACTAACCCAATGACTGTTTTTAATTCTCATGGAACCTTTAAGTGAGGAAGTTTGTTTGTAGTTAACCAAAGTAATGGTTATTTTTTGAAATAACAAAAATAGGGATTCTTTTTTCTTTTATAAATTAAGTTTAATTTAGAAACTTATAAACGTTTTAATTTTTGAGCATCCAGCTTCAGAAATAAAAATAATACCTAAAATGAGAGTATAAACATGTTTATTATTTTTCAGAGTTTACTTCCTTTCTTCATTTATTAGCAGATAGAGACTACTGACCCCCTCTCTTGCTGAATGTTGTAAAGAAATTAAAAGTTTAGGTAGATGAGTTACCCACACCCATCCTAAAACACCACAGAGCCCCCTAATAGCCTCAAAGGAAGCACAACTTTCTGGCTTTTCTATAGGGGTTTATGGCCGGGATATAGCACCTACTTGAAATAAAATAGAGTCAGAGTTCATCTAAACCACCCCAAAAGTGTTTGGCATTAAACTCAAGGATTCAAATATTTCAGGAATCTGGAAACTACCAATTACTTAATAATGAAGCAAATTAAGTGAAATTCATAAAGGTTGAAGGTTCTAAATGGCCCAGTGTAGGAAGAAGAGTCAAGCTGTCAGACAGCTTGGAATGGAAATATTACATTTCCAGCTGTTGGTGGAAATCTATAAAAATCTGAGCAAACAGACTGTAGGTAACAGACATGTTACTGCTTCTCTAGTAATGCTTTAATTGCTGTTTGCAACTGTTTTTGTTTGTTTGTAATCCATTTCCTGATCATTAAGGACTCAGATATAAAAAGAATTCCTGCTTTATTCTCTACAAGCTGTCAACAAGATGGAAAAACAGGGGGGAATTATAGCCTACAGCAGTATGAGCAAAAAGAAAGAATGAACATTCAACAGATCAAGATGTGCTAGCAGGAGTGCATGTAGCATCCTGTGTCATGGAGCAGGCCTTTAGACACAGAACCAGACATGGGACTTGTTAGGATACACTGTCCAATCCCAGGGGTGAACACACACCGCACACTAGCTAAAATATCTAGTTATTCCTACTACACAAAACATATGTAAAGCTTCCGCAAAAGAAAGAACTCACCTCCACTGCTGCTGAGAATTAGTCCTCTCCTACTCTAACTCTGGCTTCTCCTTAACCGGTCATAAAACTAGAGGCATAAGGAAGTCCTGACTGGAGAGCTAGAAGGATACTGGTTTCTGACTTGCCTTGTGATGAACCAGTCAGTACTACAGAAACCTGCTTATTTATAAACAGAGCACTTTTATGTGGTCATCTCTTGAGAACCTGTACTAATAAGCTCTAACAAAAAGCATGGGAACCTGGAATCAATAAATAATCCTAAAAACCTCATTTTACCTAGTGATTGCATCCTTCTCTCTGGCAATTAAACTGACTTCCACGTGTCCTTAGGTCTCTATTCTGGAGGATAAGAGAAGCATCAAAAAATCACTGACTGAGTTGACCATCCAGCCCTAAATAATGAAGAGATGACATAAACTATTTTAAAAATTGTAAGTGCCAAAAATCTTTTGGGTAGTCTTTTTAATCCCCGGCAGTTCCATCTCACAATATTAAATTCATTTGAAGATACAATAGTAATCTTTGGATAAGCATGAAAATAAAACATTAGAATCCCAAATATACTCCCCTAGGGGCAATCACATAAGCATATTAGAGATAAATGAAATTTTTTACAAATAGCAAACCTTTATTTACCAATTTGTGGTTTTTTCCCCCCGGTCTTAAATCTTGGGTATTTTGTATTTTCACATTTTTCACTTTCCTTCTGTCCCTAGATCCTCCTAATTTCCTATTACTCAAGTAATTTGTTCTGTTTAATCAAAGAAATCAACCTGATATTTCATTACATTTTGCTAAAAACTCAGAAATAAACCTATTTATGAAGCGCACTATGTCATATACTGTAAAAACTTCATTTTAGCCGTGTTATATTGCTGGCAATTACTGAACTACGAAAGGCTTTTTTTTTTCCCCTCTCTCTCTCTCAACTTAATAAAGCTTGTCAAAGTTTCCAGGAAACAAACTGTGACTTCCGCTTTTATTGCATTCTGATGGGATGAGTGATTACAGAAGCTCAGCATCACAGATCGCTCTCCCCGTAGAGTGCGGAAGAGAACGCAGCGTAATCCAGTGCACCAGGCACACTGCCTGGGCCCGAGTAGGCGGGCATCCTCTTGATGCAGTACTGGGCCTGATCCGGGGGCAGCTCCCGACGCAGCTCCTCCGCCAGGATGTATGGCTGGGAAAAAATACACACGTGTTTGCAGTCAGTTGCAGAAACACCACAACATAAACAGTCTTAATACTTACATATTTCTTGCATCTGTTTAATTTTTTAAAAGGACTAAAGAATAGGGAGTCTATTGGCATAGTAGTACCAGACAACCAACAGAAAGCCAAGTTTTACTTGTAGGAGCGTATCTAGAAGCGGCCTGGCCAGCAGGAAGGGTGATATGCTTCATAAAGGCAAATGGAGCATTACTAGTAGTTCTCAAACTGAGCCACAATGCGAGGATACGTACTATGATCTGCATTTCATACCAGAAAAGATGAAGCTTTTAAAAAAAAAGTTCAGTGGGAAATAGGACAATTCCAGCCAAATAGTCTGGTTGGTAAAAGTCAAAATAAGTAAATCTCAAATATCACATTATAATTTATATCATTATAGTTTGCATATTATATAATTTATAGTAGAAGTTTCTTAGTGGGGTTGGAGGAGCCATGGTTTCTTACCTTCTAAATCAGCTGGGCTATTTCCCATCCACCCTCACCCCATGGGTAAATGATTCATTTTAAAGAAAACATTATTTTAAAAATAGTTGGTCTTATCTGATTTTTAAGGTAATAAATATGGCTCTGTTACTGTGTTTTAGCATGCTAACCTCCTTGTGGTAATGTTCATTATCCTCTCAGCCAGAAAACAGGGTAAAATAATCCTGTCCCAAATTGAATTTATACATAGAGATGTTTTTATTGTTTGGGGGGTAAAATATTACAATTCTGAACTGGCAATTAAACTCCTCCTGAAGGTCTAGGCTACATGTAATGAAAAGCTTGCCAATTTTTTACTGACTGAACGGCTATATTTAACTTTGCTCCATGGCTGGGCACAAAGTCAGGGTCATTGATCCTTAGGAGAAGGTACCAGTTTTATAACATCTAAATTGCATAGTTTCTTCTTTCTGAGTCACATCCACCAACCTAGAATGTAAAACAGGGGTCGAACCAGTAGCGCGCACATACACACACACACACACACACACACACGCAAGTACAAATACACTCTTGTCCCTTCTATAAAAACTCAATGCAAGGCCAAGCACGAATGCCAGGAATGGCATGTCTGTTTCCTCTGTGCTGGGCGCGCCATTGTTGTGTGTCTATCTGCTGCCTTCTGAAATCAGTGCCAATGTTGTACAAAATACACCGGCATAAAAATGGTTTTTATTTACAACACTGTTGCCTTTTTTGTTAGAAGGATGTAGTGGACTCCTGCTAAAGCAGAAGGAAATCTGTCAATGCAGACCTTATCAGAAGCCAGGATCCGGAAGGAGGCGATGACCTGCTCGGCAGTGTCGGTGTCAGCCGTCTCTCTAGTCATGAAGTCGATGAAGGATTGGAAGGTGACGGTGCCTTGCCCGTTGGGATCTACCAGGGTCATAATGCGGGCAAATTCGGCTTCACCCTGGGGCAAAGTGGCAAAGAAACATGTACACGAACGGTACACAACTCTCAACAGAGCCGTTTTCATTCTTTCCCTGGTGACATGCCAATTCCTTTATGTCTGAAAACTGAATTATTACCTGCGTTTCCCTTCAGTCTTTGGACAAGATTCCCCTTAAGGGTGACTAAGGTTTACTGCTACCAAACAATTTTAAAAGTTGCTGGAGCTTCAAACCAGAAGCTTGTAAATGTCAGAAGTCTTTCCTCTCTGGGACCCACTGCTGGCCTTGATGGGTCACGTGACGTAATTATGGAAGAGGAGGTCAAAGCGGGAGCTGAGCCCTTTCCTCAGATTACAACTAGGAAAGCGATGCTGCCAAACTGAAGGCAGCTCAGAACATGGCTGTCACGACTGTAGTTTACAGTCCCAAAGAGAATCAAGGGAGGCCAGGTTAAAAATACTCATTAATGGGTAACAGAGAAGTGTCTGATATACTAGGACTATCCCAGCCCACAGGGAAATGTAAGTTTATCTTGGCTGATTTACGACTAAACCTTTTTTACCTTTCAGCATATTAGAGGAAAAAGCACTTGAAAAATCATTAGGTTCCTACTAAAAGCCACTGAAGTATACACTTTAAATGGGTAAACCGTAGTACGTGAGTTATATCTCAGTAAAGCTGTTTAAAACAATCAAAAAGCCTATGTTCTCATCTCCTTCACTAGAAAAAATAATCTGACCAATTATTGAATAAAAATAAATGCTTTGGTTCTGTGACTTTTTTTTTTTTTGATGGAGTTTCACTCTTGTCATCTAGGCTGGAGTGCAGTGGTGCAATCTCAGCTCACTGCAACCTCCGCCTCCCAGGTTCAAGCCATTCTCCTGCCTCAACCTCCCAAGTAGCTGGGACTACAGGTGCCCGCCACCACAGCTGGCTAATTTTTGGATTTTTAGTAGAGAAGAGGTTTCACCATATTGGTTAGGCTGGTCTCAAACCCCTGACCTCAGGTGATCCATCCGCCTCGGCCTCCCAAAGTGCTGGGATTACAGGCGTGAGCCACTGCGCCAGGCCTCGTGACTTTATTTTTATATAATAACAGTGAGACCTTCAAAAAATATTATCCTATATAATGAAAACGAACCAATCCCAAATGCACTACCTTGGTTTGAGCTTGTCATCTTTTATAACAGAAATCCAAATTCAATAAAATATCAAATCTTAGTACAATTTCAACTTCTGTCTTACCAGGTCATAACCCATGGAAATCAGGCAGGCTCTGAAATCCTCATGATCCATCAGGCCATTCTTCCTCTGTTGGCAAAAACAAAGGACAGAGCAGGTGAGCACAGGGCAAGATGAGCAACTCTACTTGACCAACTGAACAAAGATCTGGTAAGAGAAGCACTTTGAGCTCTGCCAAGGTCGTAAATGTCACCACTGACTTGCGAGAAGGATGGAGCCAGCACAAGGATGTTACAAACTAGTTTCTTAAAAATGAAAAAGAGGGGAGAGGAGGGTAAAGACCAGACAAAAACGAAAGGAGACCACACACTCAAGAAAACAGCAAAAGGAACTAGTCAGGAGCTCACTACTGCCACCTACTGACAAAGAATCATTCATGTTTAATTTGAACAAACTTCTAAACATGGTAAGTTCTGCATTGTACTCCTTGGACTTTTGTTGCAAAAGATTGTGATCATCTTGGATTCAAATCAATGTGCTTTCTTCCTATAAAGTAGCCCCAATGAGTGAGAGTGTCTTTCAACAAGAGATGGTTGTGTACAGGGATGACGATCCATCATTTCCCTCCTTGGAAGAAAAATGACTTGGGCTTTAATGAATGCAGATACGTCAAATCACAGCATGCTGCTGCACAATAAAGGTGTGCTGAAGCTATAAGAACGTCAATATCCATCTCTGTGGATAATTTTTTACTTATGCCTAGCTCTCTGATCAGAAGTCCACTGTCTGAATCCTCCAAAAGGCCCAAATCTGACTGGTCTATCTAGCCCAGAGGCATTTTAGGAACGACTGATGGACATTTGCAAATCATAACAGGGCTCCATGCAAAGTAATGGTACATCCCTTTTAGTGATCTTTAAGAATTGGAACGTAGCTAGTCGTGGTGGCTCACGCCTGTAAGCTCAGCACTTTGGGAGGCTGAGGCAGATGGATCACCTGAGGTCAGGAGTTCAAGACCAGCCTGGCCAACATAGTAAAACCCTGTTTCTAGTAAAAATACAAAAAATTAGCCAGGCATGGTGGCATATGCCTGTAATCCCAGCTACTTGGGAGGCTGAGGCAGGATAATCGCTTGAACCTGGGAGGTGGAGGTTGCAGGGAGCTGAGATCACACCATTGCACTCCAGCCTGGGCACCAAAAGCACAACTCCATCTCAAAAACAGAACAAAACAAAACAAAACAAAACAAAACAAAAAGAAAAAAGGCCAGGTGCGGTGGCTCACACTTGTAATCCTAGCACTTTGGGAGGCCAAGGTGGGTGGATCATGAGATCAGGATATTGAGACCATCCTGCCTAACATGGCGAAACCCCGTCTCTACTGAAAAAAAAAAAAAAAAATTAGCCAGGCATGGTGGCAGGTGCCTATAGTCCCAGATACTAGGGAGGCTGAGGCAGGAGAATTGCTTGAGCCCGGGAGGCGGAGGTTGCAGTGAGCCGAGATCATGCCACTGCACTCCAGCCTGGTGACAGAGCGAGACTCCGTCTCATTAAAAAAAAAAAAGAAAAGAATTGGAGTGTGCCTTAATAGTCACTCACTTCCAGCCACAGGATTAGTAAATAGTATTTTCTCATAAAGAATTGGTTCTACTCAATATTATTCAAATCAGAATACTAGATGATATTTTTAAAGCAGCACTTAGCTTTTTATATGCTTTTACTACAAAAATTATCACCATTTTATTGCTGCATGTCCTTAAAAGAGATCATGCATCAATTTTGTTAATTAAAACAGAAAACTGAGTTTTATATGTTGAAAGAATGGGTTAAATTATGACCAGATGCTTTTCCTAAACAGTTGCTTAGGAAAAGCATATCAGAGTTTTGTATTTAAGTCTTTACGAAATGACCTAAAGCCAACAATCACATTTTGTGAAGAATACACTTTGACTTAGAACAAATCAGCTTTGATGTCAACTACAAATGCATTCTATTAAGTGATCTGTATGAAACAGCACACAAACCTGGACTTTGTGTCACCTTGAGCAACATCAAAGCTTAGGACACTTAGTTTTGGTGGCTATTTTCTTTTGTCATTAACTATCCTGTTTCCCTGTAAATGTTGTGGAGCCTTAAGACTTAAAACGAGAGCATGCATATTATTTCAGATACATTGTTTAATGTCCCCAGTATTGCCCTTCAAATAAGTAGAGAGTGGTACCCTGTCAAAGTGGTTGAAGGAGGCTCTGAACTCATTCATCTGCTCCTGGGTGATGCCCTTCGCATCTCTCGTCAGGATCTGAGTCTCCACCTCATTGATGGTTCTGGCGATGGTTGTCAGCAGCAGCTCCCATCCAACACGAATGTGCTATTGAGGGAAAAGGGGAAAGATCAGTTCTAAGTCTCTCCAGCATGTCAACTCTGCCTCTTTACTTTCATAACAGTACAGCCGACTCAAAGGGCTTACTAAGCAGGGCTCATGATAGCCTTCCCCACACTTGAAAAAAAATTCTACTTTGTCATCTGTTGCAAGATTCTGTAGTGAGAAGTACTCACAAGCACCCACCAGGGTTCTAACAGTGGCAGCGGGCACTCTGCAGTATATACTCTATAACCAGGGTTCTAACGGTGGCAGCGGGCACTCTGCAGTATATACTCTATTACCAGGGTTCTAACAGTGGCAGCGGGCACTCTGTAGTATATACTCTATAACCAGGGTTCTAACGGTGGCAGCGGGCCCTCTGCAGTATATACTCTATTACCAGGGTTCTAACAGTGGCAGCAGGCACTCTGCAGTATATACTCTATTACCAGGGTTCTAACAGTGGCAGCGGGCACTCTGTAGTATATACTCTATAACCAGGGTTCTAACAGTGGCAGCGGGCCCTCTGCAGTATATACTCTATTACCAGGGTTCTAACAGTGGCAGCGGGCACTCTGCAGTATATACTCTATTACCAGGGTTCTAACGGTGGCAGCGGGCACTCTGCAGTATATACTCTATAACCAGGGTTCTAACGGTGGCAGCGGGCACTCTGCAGTATATACTCTATAACCAGGGTTCTAACAGTGGCAGCGGGCCCTCTGCAGTATATACTCTATTACCAGGGTTCTAACAGTGGCAGCGGGCCCTCTGCAGTATATACTCTATTACCAGGGTTCTAACGGTGGCAGCGGGCACTCTGCAGTATATACTCTATAACCAGGGTTCTAACGGTGGCAGCGGGCACTCTGCAGTATATACTCTATTACCAGGGTTCTAACGGTGGCAGCGGGCACTCTGCAGTATATACTCTATTACCAGGGTTCTAACGGTGGCAGCGGGCACTCTGCAGTATATACTCTATTACCAGGGTTCTAACGGTGGCAGCGGGCACTCTGCAGTATATACTCTATTACCAGGGTTCTAATGGTGGCAGCGGGCACTCTGCAGTACATACTCTATAACCAGGGTTCTAACGGTGGCAGCGGGCACTCTGCAGTATATACTCTATAACCAGGGTTCTAACAGTGGCAGCGGGCACTCTGCAGTATATACTCTATTACCAGGGTTCTAACAGTGGCAGCGGGCACTCTGCAGTATATACTCTATTACCAGGGTTCTAACAGTGGCAGCGGGCACTCTGCAGTATATACTCTATTACCAGGGTTCTAACAGTGGCAGCGGGCACTCTGCAGTATATACTCTATAACCACGGTTCTAACAGTGGCAGCGGGCACTCTGCAGTATATACTCTATTACCAGGGTTCTAACAGTGGCAGCGGGCACTCTGCAGTATATACTCTATTACCAGGGTTCTAACGGTGGCAGCGGGCCCTCTGCAGTATATACTCTATTACCAGGGTTCTAACAGTGGCAGCGGGCCCTCTGCAGTATATACTCTATTACCAGGGTTCTAACGGTGGCAGCGGGCCCTCTGCAGTATATACTCTATTACCAGGGTTCTAACAGTGGCAGCGGGCACTCTGCAGTATATACTCTATAACCACGGTTCTAACAGTGGCAGCGGGCACTCTGCAGTATATACTCTATTACCAGGGTTCTAACAGTGGCAGCGGGCACTCTGCAGTATATACTCTATTACCAGGGTTCTAACAGTGGCAGCGGGCACTCTGCAGTATATACTCTATAACCAGGGTTCTAACAGTGGCAGCGGGCCCTCTGCAGTATATACTCTATTACCAGGGTTCTAACGGTGGCAGTGGGCACTCTGCAGTATATTATCAGGATTCTAACAGTGGCAGCGGGCACTCTGCAGTATATACTCTTGTTTGTCACTAAAAATATTTTCCCATTTACCAAGTAGCAGGATGAGCCCTGAGTTATACCTGCTGGCTCCCAGGGAGATCAATTTGGGCCTAACTGGCAGAAATGCAACAGTCCAGTTTCTGGCACTCACCTTGAAGAAGTGTAGTGAATTTATGGTGGTGATAATAATAATGATAATGTCACTGTTGGTAATACCATATAGTCCTCGATATAGCTCACGAAGCATTTCCACAAATAGTGACTGGAAAGGCTTAAAGATCCCTAACTTTCATACTTGTAGGTCTTAACAGGAACAAAGAAAGACAAGTGCATGAAGAAAGCACCCTGAGGAGGTGGCATGGTCCCCGTGAGAAGTGAGCGGCACACGCCTGTCTGGCTGCCGTACCTCCATCGTGTAGTTCGTGTGCTTGTTGTCAAAGACAAGGGCCTCCTGGATGAGCTGATGGTCTCCCTCCAGCTTGTCGATGTTGTTCTTATAGTTGATGATGTTGTGCTCATACTGCTTCAGCTGGTTCATCTGGTCTTCCAGGGCTCCTGTGATCTGGATGGAGCTCCGGGCAATCTCCTGAGGGGGGCGAGTGAGCAAGCAGAGAGAGAAGCAGAGTGAAGTGCCCTCTAAGGGAGCTCGGCACGAGGCGCCGTTCCAGACCCTGCATGGGATGCTAGGCCAGCGTCAGGCAGCGGCCAGTGTCACTCGGTTCACTTTTCTCAGAGGAAGTGGGGACTGGGTAGCATCGCAGAACAAAACAAGGTCTAGTTCTAGTCTGTCTAGAAAATGAGGAAAAAGTCAACCAAGATCCAAAACAGAGAGGCAAGAGGGGTCAGAGATAAGTCCTTCAGCTTCTTGCTGTGGGAAGGAAACGCCCTCGGGCAGAGCTACCCTGCTCTGGAGGAGGCTGGGGGTGGGCTGCCTGGGTGGAGCTGCCAGACAGATTGAAGACCCACGGGATGCTTCCTCCATCAGAATTTCTTATATTTTTACATGGTCTCCGCTTTAAGAAAAAAGTCAATATTTCAACACCAAAAGGGTGGTGGGACAAGAAATAAGTGGGTCAATAAATGTCTCCTGGCTGTTCTTGGTGATCAAAGGACAACAGGGTTACTTAAAGACCACTGTCCCTGAAATGTTCTGAAAATGCAAAGTATTTGTGGGCCTTCACGTGTCCTCCTTGTAGGGATAGATGGTTTGAAATCCAGGCCCTGCAGAGGCCAAAAACGGAGAAAGCCCTGTCACCATTTTTAGTGAGAAAATAAACAGAACCCAGCAAGACCCCCCTCCCCTTCCTTGAGTGCCGCCTTCCTGCATTCCATATTGTGCTCTGGTTTGCACACTGTCCCCAACAGCCAGGGGCTGAAAGATAAAGCCGGGGTGATAACAGAACGGTGCTCCCACCTGACTGAGTGGGTGGCTGGAAACCACAGCATGTGCGGTGTCACTGCTGCGTGGCTAAAGGGACTTATCGCAAGGCTTGTGAACAGCGCCTGGGAGGGCGCTGGCTTACCTCCATCTTGTTCTGGATCCAGGGCCCAATGGCATTGGCTTGGGCAGCAAACTGGCGCCTCAGACGCTCGTTAGCATGCTGGCGAGCCAGCTCCTCCTGCAGGGATTGATCGCGGATGGGCACGAGTTGCTTCACCTGTCAGGGCCCAAGGACAACAAGGGTTAGAGGCCAGCTGTGGTCTCATAGGAACAACCACAGAATGCGGGAATAGTCCAAGGGGTGGGGGTGGGAGTGGAGAAGGAGAAACGAAGGGAGGAGGGTGTAGGGGGAAGGAAGAGGGAGGATAGGGAGGAGGAGTCCCTAGTCTAGGGACTACAGGATGAGCTTGATTTAGCTTTGACTGCCATCTAGTGCCACCAAGTGCCTGCTGAAAGACAGGATGAGCTGGAGGGTATTTAAGAGCCTGCATTAGGAGCAGCGACCATTCTCCTCCAGCCAGAGGCTCTAGGCCTGCTGCACAACTAAGTCAGGGCCAGGTCCAGAGTACAGAGGATTTGTGAACTTGGATGCAGGGAACACTGGCGTGTTTATTTTCACCATCTCGGATTAAAATGTAGCACTCCCTTTGTTTATGAATGACGTGGACAGCAAATCTGCAGCAGTATTTAGTAGTCCCTGTGACCTTATCACAGCATAAATCATAGACATTCCATACTAACGTTACGGTTATGCCTGCCTCTTGCAACAAATATCACGTACACTCAGCCCTACTCCAAAATTATTGGACCTGCTGTTAGTTCTTGGTTTTAAACGTGTTAGTAAAGAAGCATATACATGACAATAACTTTAAAGATATTTGAATAACTACATTTCAATATAATTTGTTTCCTTGGTAATATTAAATATTTTTATAAGTTTACAAACATTATTATCAGAAGGAATCCACAGGCTTCCCCAGACTGCCAGACGGGTTCATGACACCAAAATGTGAAGAGCCCATGCTGGGTTCATGAGTTCGATTCTTATACCTTGTTGGCCCACAGAAGAGTATACACCTGTCTACCTGCTTTCTGTTCCATTTGTGAGTTACATTTTAATGCTATGCCTCCATTCTCTTTCAATCAATGGAAGAGAAAAAACTACTTCAAAAATCTTTCTTTGTGTCATCTGCAAAACTGCTACTAAAAGCATTATTATTGTCTTTTTGTTTTCTTTAACAAAAATCCATTTGCTTTATAACTTACTGATGGGAGAAAAGTTTGTCTCACTTTAAAAAATGATATATTTCTGCCCAGGCGTGACGGCTCACACCTGTAATCCCAGCACTTTGGGAGGCTGAGGTGGGTGGATCACCTGACGTCAGGAGTTTGAGACCAGCCTGGCCAACATAGTGAAACCTCATCTCTATCAAAAATATAAAAAATTAGCCAGGCGTGGTGGCGGGCACCTGTAATCCCAGCTATTAGGGAGGCTGAGACAGGAAAATCACTTGAACCCACGAGGAAGAGGTTGCAATGAGCCGAGATTTTGCCTCTGCACTCTAGCCTGGGCAACAGAGTGAGACTCTGTCTCAAAAAAATAAACATAATAAAAACGAAAAATAAAAAATGATATATTTCCTCCCCCCGCCCCCACCCCCGCAAGAAAACTACTTAAATCAGTTTGTTTCCTGTCTCTCTTTGGGTGTTCGTTAGGAAGACCAGAGCTAAATTTAAAGCTCAGATGCACTAATTAACTACTGTTTCTCGGATAAATACTTTCCTTTTCCTCATACCTGTTTTTGTCTTTTGCGCTGTTTATAACTAACTTGCAGCACGTGTGTTTTTATAGTAAAAGCCACTTCAGACCCACGTGGTGGACTTATTCCTCAAAGACTATGATTGGCATACTGAGATGACTAATTGTGCTATAATTTCAACCATGAAAAGAAATGTCCCAATCTTAAAAATCAGACAAAAGGGCTCAAATTATCCCATTTGGACCATAATTACATTTGTCGATAGTTGCCCCAAATTTAAAAGGCTGCAAGTTAGTAAGAATACTTTCATTCCCAAGATGTCGTTTTCTAAGCAATTTTTCTGCATTTAAAATTCATACACATCTGGGACATGTCTATATCATATTCTAAAAATTCTTTTAAAAAGTACTGTAAGTACTTGTAACCAAGTTTTTAACCAAATTTCCAGTTGGGGCTTTAAAAACCATTTCCTTTATGGTATTAGGATCATAACCTACAGTGGTTGTGTCAACATTTATAAGATTTTCCTTAAGTAAAATAATCTCTGCTTTCTTTCCCCACAAACTGCAGACGCTGCTGAAGGGTCCTTAAGAGTTTGTCACGTTTTGCCTGTGAAATTTGGGATAAAGGAAAATCCTGATCATGATGCAAAATGAGGCCGTCACCCTAAGTCCCCGAGGCGTTAACTTCCTCCTTCGACGTCAGCTTCAAGAATGCCCCCTGGTCCCACACCAGGCCCTCAGCCACCCACCTTGTCCCACTTGGTCCGGAGCTCATCCATGGTGACAGTGCTGTACGGGTTGCTTGAGCTGATTCTGATGTTGTAGCTCTGAATCACCTTCTCCACCTCGTTCTGGATGGCCATGATGGACTGCCGCTCTCCGTCCGCCTCGGGCAGCGTGGCCTTGAACTGCTCATGCGCAGTGATCAGACTCTACACCCGAGACACAAGTGGAGAAAAACAATGTGGCTTGAGTGTTAATTTCAAAGGCTTTGATATTCCTTTCCGCACACAAGTAAATGCCTTGATGATTGCAAGAGTCTCTGGAGAAAAACACATTCTGAATGCTTTAGAAAAAACTCTTTAGGTACACAGAAGTCAAGTTCCTGGAAAATGGAAAAAGGATGTCATGATGACTATTAATAATATTGGTGGCTATTCATGTAGAGTCTTTTAAAAAATAATTTTTTTTAATCAGTTTTCCTTTCACTGATTTTGATCACCAGCTATTGTTTAGGTCTTTCTTATTTTCTGCTGACGAGCAGAACTTAACTTAGCGGCACTTCCTTTTTTTTTTTTTTTTTTTTTTTTTTGAGACAGGGTCTCGCTAGGTCACTCAGGCTGGAGTGCAGTGGTGCAATCATGGCTCACTGCAGCCTTGAACACTTGGGCTCAAGTAATCCTCCTGCCTCAGTCTCCTGAGTAGCTGGGACTATAGGGCATACATCATGATGCCTGGCTAATTTTTTTATCTTTTGCAGAGACAGGGTCTCATTATGTTGCCCAGGTTGGTCTCAAACTCCTGGCCTCAAGTGATCCTCCCCGCCTGGCCTCCCAAAGTGTTGGGATTACAGGTATGAGCCACCATGCTCAGCCCTTAGATGCCCTTTCTAATGGCCAGTGTTACCTTTGCAGTCCTACAAAAGCATCTAACATTTGCTACCATTATATCTAAAGAAAACCAGGAAGTACATCCCTATTCCTCAAAAAGAAAAGGTCACAGAAACCAACTCTTCCCAGAAGGCTCTCTAAAGAGCCATTTATCAAACCTATTCTTTGACCTGAACATGAGCAGCCCCACAAATTCAGCGGCTCAAAGACCTCACTGCCTCGTGGAGCACCTTTGAGTGTGAAGCTACTGTTCTCTTTAGGTGCAGCAACAGGTCAGCTGCCAACAGAGCTTTGACAAAGAGTGTGACTTCCAAGGCGTGCTTAGAGGTCTCACTTATTCCAAAAATAAACGATTTTAGACTGTTGGCCTGTGCTTAAGAGTGCACGCAGGAAACACCATCGGAGCCTCTTTCAAAAGGCAACTCCAATGTTCATGGAAGCACTTTCTTTCCCCTGGCGTGCAGGTGCAAACCCTTCTAGACGGCTCCTGGTAGGGAGGTGTGGTTTCAAATCCCAACCTTCAGGATTTCCTTTCTACTTGGATTCTTTTTGATGACATATCTATTTTACAGAAAAAAAAGAGTAAAAAGTATTTTCTCTTTTTATTCTATTATACATCAAATTCACTGTACAAATTCTCTAAATAAATTATGTCCTGGCTAACCGAGATTAACTTTCCTCCCTAACGTCACCACTTAGAAGCTTTGTTTATAGTTCTGAAGTTCCAGAAAAAACTATAAGCAGAACATTTTAGATTGGCAGTAGGCAAAAGGTAGGTGCTGATTTGTGGCTTCTTATGGTTTACAATCTGGCAAAAAACTCTGTAGATCTAAATAAACAGTAATATGCACACGTTTGCAAAGTAGTTAACTCAGCAGCTAGTACACTTACAACTTTTTCATGAATAACTCCAAGAGCACATATGTTTATTTTGCTCAATGATGCAGCAGTTGTTGTAGTTGTAGTTGTCGTTGTTGTTGTTGTTGTTGTTGAGACAGGGTCTCACTCTGTTACCCAGGATGGAGTCCAATGGCGTGATCTTGGCTCACTGCAACCTCTGCCTCCCAGGCTCAAGCGATCCTCCCACCTCAGCCTTCCCAGTAGCTGGGACTCCAGGCGTGCACCACCACACCCAGCTAATTTTTTTTTGTATTTTTTGTAGAGACGGGGTTTTGCCACATTGGCCAGGCTGGTCTCGAACACCTGAGCTCAAGCAATCCACCCGCCTCAGCCTCCCCAAGTGCTGGAATTATAAGCATGAACCACTGCGCCCAGCCTCAGCATTCTTTTTTAAAGAACAGAGCTTCTGAGACACATTCACCATTACTTGATTGATTTTAACGGGTTTGCAACACAGAGTACTAAACACATTTTTAAGCTAAGGTTCAAGGGTAATTTGGGCTTTCTAGCCACATTTGTTAATTTTTTTTTAAAGCAAGAAAACAAGAAACCAAATAACAGGACTCTTAAGTTTAAATGACAACTCACTTCTAATGCATAGGGCATACAGAGTTGCGGTTCCATTACCTGGATCTCCTCAATGCTGTGGACAATGAACATATCTTGCAGATCCTCCATAGCGCCCTCCATCCAATTGTTGAAAGGAGCAGCCCTCTTGGCAAACTCCAGGTGAAGCTGATCAATGGTTTCTAGCAATTTCTCCATTCTCTAAAGAATAAAGAGAAGCAAGCATTATCATAGACTAATTAAAAAATTCACTGAAAGTGTAAGTAGGCGTTCCATAAGAACAGACTATTCTCTGATATTCTGTTAATCGTATTAGCATGTGTCTACAAAAGATTACCCGATGCTCAAACAATTAGGCTGAGCCCTGCAGGTCTCTGAGGTGCCTTCTGAATCAAAGAAGGATTTCATAACATCCAGAGCAGCCTCATTTTTAAAGTGTCTAAAGTACTTCACTACATGCTACTTTTCTGAAAACTGAGACTCCACATACGGCATACTGTAACTTGCTTTCAGCTAAAGCAGGACTTTATAAGAGGACCTGATTCCCTAACTGTGCCAGATTAACAGAAAATGCAGGGCATCTTCCACGTTTTAGAGTCAACATGTGCAGAGAAGTTGTGTGCCTTTCCCAAAGTCACCTACCTAATGGAGAGAGAAGGAACTGCAGGTTCATGCTCTCAAATCCTCATTCAGGATTTAACACAGATCACCTCTTGCCTTTCTGGGCATATGAAAGCACAAGATTTCAAGCAACAGGATGATCCTGCGCTTGTTTCCCATGGCAGACAAGTGGGGGCAGAAGGGGAAGGCATCTCCGTAGCTTTAAGCCTTCCATAATTAGGTTCATTTTTCCCTCCTGTTCTAAAATGTTTTGTGCTGTCTCTGTTACATGTCTGGTCTTTCTCTTGACATCTCTTTCTTTAAGCAGATATGTCACAGCCATTTGGCATTTGGGAAGCTTGATATTGGGTTATCTCAAAAGTATCATCAGAGTCAAGCAGAAAAGACTCAGGGAACTGGTAAACTGCTGGTTTCTCTCACGTGGGAGATGTCTTCCATGGTTAAAGACAATTAGGGGCAGTTAAACACAAGATACCCACTGTGTCTTACACTTAGTCTTACACTTAAATAAGGCCAAATTCGTCCCAATTCTGTTTCCTATCAATGTACTCACTTCAACACTTGGTTCCATCTTCCCTTTGCACATCTCTGATTTCCCGACTCACTCACAGCTCAATTTACTCAGGTAGAAGGACTTTTGGAAACGTACTGTTACTACCAGATACAAAGTAGATTTATGCCGTAATCTCATCACCCCTGGATTTTTTAAAATTGAAAAATATACTTCGCTGCTGTCTGGATAAATTACAGCACAAAGCTCCCAACTTCCCATTTCCCTCTTTCTTCCACTTTTCATGTTTTCTTTAGAGGTTCCTTTCACTAGGCAACCTGTTTCATGCCACAGAGAAACACACAATGAATACCAGTGATTTAATTAAAGAGCTTCTATTAAAAGATTTCATGTCAACAAGTGGCTTCAATACTTCACCTCTAGGGCTTCTCTCCTCTTCTGAGTAAGCGTTCCCAGTCGGTCCCACTGGTCACAAATTTTCTGGCACCGATCATTGACATTCACAGCGTCGTGATAGTCCAGTTCACTATTAAAAGTGAAAATAAATAAAGATTAACTTTCCCAGATGATGAGAGAAAATGAACATGGGCTAAAAAAGAAAAATAACAGGGAAGTTTAAAAACAAAAACATCTGAAATGTATCCACATGGACATAGAGAGTGGGCTGATAGACAGTGGAGGCTCAGAAGGGTGAGGGGGTGGAAGGGTAGGTGGATGATGAAAAATTACTTAGTGTGATTTCATACAATGTATGTTATTTGGGTGATGTCTACCCTAAAAACCCTGACTTGGCCACATGTAGCAAAACTGCACTTGTGCCCCACCCCACCTACATTTATACACATAAAAGAAATAAAAAATAAAAATCTGATAGAGAACTGGGATGGTATTTCAGGGTTTTGTTAACTGTCATCACTGTAAACATCACTCCTCTCAGATAAATCACAAGAAGAATTCATAAAACTTTCGCTGGCCAACAGATTTCTAAACAGAGAGAACCGTTGTCTTCTTAATGCCGCAGGCTCAATTTATTTCCCCTTCCTTTTCTTGGAGAGGCCCCCAGAGAGCATTATTTCTAAGTGGCAATGTCCCTATGAGTGAAGGTCGGAAGACATCACTCTCTGACCTGGAGGACAGTCCTGTGGGCCAGGATGCAGCCACAGTGACTGGGGAGGGAAGAGTCAGCCTGCGCCACATTGTGTCCTTGGCTTCCCTAGAAGGGCACTTGGCCTCACCACTGGGTAGAGTATCAGGTCCAGAATGGCACCATGACTTTATCTAACATAGCGGGATTTCTGAAATGGGGCCGAACTGAGCCCTTCCACTTAGAGACAGAAAGGTTCTGACTCATCTAATGCCACTAGAGTGACAAGCAAGGGCAAAATGATTTCTCACTAAATCCTTACTTTTCCTTGCCAGATCCATCTATGCATTCTACCTGGGGTCTTTCTGTGCACACCACTGAAGCAATTTTTTTTTTTTTTTTGAGACAGGGTCTTGCTTTGTCATCCAAGCTGGAGTGCAGTGGGGGTGATCATACGTTATTACAGCCTCAGACTCTTAGGCTCAAGTGATCCTCCTGTCTTAGGCTCCCAAGTAGCTGGGACTACAGGCATGTGCCACTACACCCGGCTCTTTTCAAAAATTTTTTAGAGATGGAGTCTTGCTGTGTTGCCAGGCTGGTCTCGAACTCCTGGTCTCAAGCAGTCCTACCTCCTCAGCCTCCCAAAGTACAAGGATTACAGGTATAAGCCACTGCACCCAACCTAAAGCAAATTCTTAACTAGAAGCTTAACCCAGTACCTCCAGGGATAACAAGTTTGAATCCTGTACAAAACTTAATCACCTTTTTCATTCAGATATAAATCAAGAACCATGGAAGTTTAAAGACATCTTCAGGAGGCTGCTTCAAAAACAGTCCAGGATTAGACAACTTTGAAAAGTCCCCTCCTACCCTACCAAATCCATTTTCTTAAAGCTTAAGTTCGTTTTCTTTTTTTTTTTCTTTCTTTTTTTTTTTTTTTTTTGAGATGGAGTCTTGCTCTGTCGCCCAGGCTGGAGTGCAGTGGCCTGATCTCGGCTCACTGCAAGTTCCGCCTCCCGGGTTCACACCATTCTCCTGCCTCAGCCTCCTGAGTAGTTGGGACTACAGGTGCCCGCCACCATGCCTGGCTAATTTTTTTTTGTATTTTTAGTAGATACGGGGTTTCACCGTGTTAGCCAGGATGGTCTTGATCTCCTGACCTCGTGATCAGCCCACCTCAGCCTCCCAAAGTGCTGGGGTTACAGGCGTGAGCCACTGTGCCCAGCCAGAACGTGGCAGTTTTAAAACGTAATATATTGAAATAAATTTTTATTATTTAATTTTTGAAGTTACCATTATGTGACAGGCTCTAAACATTCTACAGATGTATCAGTGATTATAATGGTGGGGAAAGGAGTAGGAAATAAAATGTTGTCTTTATTACAAGGGAAAAGGACCTGAAGAAAGCTCAGAAACACGGCATGGAGGCTCTTCTCCCTGAGGGCAGCCGCACCCCAGGGCTCACACTACACAGAGCGGGAACTGAGAACATTCACTCCGTGCCAAATCCAGCCTAGGCTCAAATGTCGTGTCAGTTCTTCCCATAAAACCAAACGCATGAAAGTGAAACAGCACTTAGGGGATGATAAAGCAAAGTGGGGTCCTGACGTCTCTTCTGCACACGTGAGGCAGTGCCCACTTTTTTGTTTTATTTTGTTTTGTTTTTTGTTTTTTTGAGACGGAGTCCCGCTCTGTCGCCCAGGCTGGAGTGCAGTGGCGCGATCTCGGCTCACTGCAAGCTCCGCCTCCTGGGTTCACACCATTCTCCTGCCTCAGCCTCCCGAGCAGCTGGGACTACAGGCACCCGCCACCAGGCCCGGCTAATTTTTTGCATTTTTAGTAGAGACGGGGTTTCACCGTGTTAGCCAGGATGGTCTCGATCTCCTGACCTCATGATTCGCCCGCCTCAGCCTCCCAAAGTGCTGGGATTACAGGCGTGAGCCACCGCGCCCGGCCAGTGCCCTCTGTTTTGCTTGGTTTTATGTTGATTTCAGGACAGGCTATATTCTGCTTCTTGCACCTGGCCTGGGTGAGGCCGCCTTCCCATAGCTTTCTGGGCCCCAATATTCCAGACTTATTTCTCATCTTGCTGGAAGCGGAGCTGCCTGTGCTGAGGGCCGGGGTGCTGCTGGATGGTAGGACATAGGGATTCTACCACAATCTAAGAACCAAAATCTGTTTCTACATTTAAAGAAACAAGGAGAATCCCTGCACAGAGTGCCTCCAGCGTGGTTCCCTCTGCGTTTAGTCAGGAAAGGCAAGGCAGGCCTTTCTCTCCCCTCTCTGTGGAATCCCAGGGGCTCCCGGGAGGACGGAGGGCATCTGCACATACTTGAGCTCCTGCGCGATGGCTGCGATCTGCTCCACGCGGTCCTGGTGCGCTGCCAGGTCGCTCTCGAACGCCTCGTGCTTCCGCAGCAGAGCCCGCACCTCTGTCAGCGACGCCGACTCGTAATCCTTCTGCAGCAAGATCTGCTCTTTGCCTGCAAAGGTGGTAGCAAGAAAGTATGAATATGCTGAGGGCACAGCGGCTTCCTCATGCCAGCCACATTCTCAGGGAGCGGTGAGATTCCAAAGAACCAAGAGAAGGGGACAGAGAGGGGCAGGACTGAAGATGCAGGCCAGGGTTGTGATGGAATTCAGGCTGTTACCTGCTGAGGATGCCCCAGCCCCTTCTCAGTTTTGAAAGCTCGTGTCTCCAAATAAAGGGGAAAGGAGAGCATGCTGAGTGCGTTTTTAGAAAAAAACCAATTTGTAGTCTTCATCATTCTAAGTCACAAGTATCTGATTCCTGCATGATCCTCAGTTAAGTTACTAATTATTCACTCCCAAGAGCTACCAGGGATGCTTAGATAAAACCCCGGTGCTCCATTTGTCTATCCATGAGTCCTACCCCACCCTAGTTCCTTTTGTTTGAAAGCTATACTCTGTGTGCTTAAATGGAGCCTGTGCTTTGTTTTTCCTGATAATAAATATTAGAAATTTTCCTCTCTGACCCTCCACTTACATTTTCCCATATAAATATTTCTTAAATCCAGTAACTGCTGTGGTCACGAGTGGATCCACATTTATCCCCTGGCTAATGACCTTTAAGAATTCTATGAAATTGGAAGTGGAAAGCAAATGTTCATGTATTTAATGATGACGATGTACCACTTACTGTGTACTAGACGCTACTCTAAATGCTTTCTAAATACGAACTCATTAAATCTTCATAGAAACCCTATGAGGGAGGTCTTACGGTGATTCCCATTTCGAAGAGGACACTGAAGCCCTGCTAGATTAAGAATTCATCCGGGGCACACAGCTGCTATGCATCAGAACTGTGCCTCCAACCCACCTGGCTCCAGCTTCCTTGCTTGTAACTACCTGTCTATGAAATATTAAAAATCAAGCAACAATAAAAGCAAAAACCATAGAATGAGGAAAAATCTCCCCAATCTCAAAACAGATTATTATGTGATGGGGAAAATGCTTTATTCTTCTGCCTTGGCAAGAAGGACTATTTAGTCCAGGAGACAGCTAAAAAAAAAAAAAAAGGGCCATATTCTTATGTCTATGGAAACCGGCATGTGTGTAAGGCCTGAAAAAAGTAGATGAATGCAAGTGAAATAAGAAAGTTAGATTATACATGATATCTTGCATCCTCCCTCCCAGATTTTCTACATAGGATATTATGTTGCTCTGTGGCATTTAATATATATTCTACTGGCAGAGGCTAGTGGTTGGCCCAGGGCTATCTGACTACCAGTTAGGGAATGAGTGGATACTTGTGGAATCAAACAGAAAACATGGAAGGAGGCCAGGCCTTATGTAGGTAGGTATGTAAAGAACACATTTTGGGTGCCATTTTGGGAAGAAATAGATTACCTGCGTGATTAGAAACTAAATTTTCATGCCTACCTCTTAAATAAATTTGGCACTGAGACAAGAGCAGAGAAAGGTGACGACACCTACCTTTAGTGTCACAGACATTAGGCACAGAGTTAGTAAGGATGCATCATGGCTCTGGGCATGGCTCAACTCTGGTTTTTCAAAAATCCAATCTGACTCCTGTCTACTTACCATAAGCCCAAGTCTCGTGCGTTGAGGCCTTCTGCCTGAACTTCTCAGCCAGGTGTTCCAAGCGCTCCAGTCTCCGAATCTCATTGAGCAACCACTCCTCGTAACCCTTCTCAGCCTGCTCCAGCCTCTGCCAGGCACCAGCAATATCCTGGGATGGTTGGAAGCCAAGGGAAGCAAATGTGTAACAAGCACCTTCGTTACATTCTGGCCTCTCAGGCTTCTTCTATAAATCCCTCCACTACATTTTGATGGTGTTTTCCTTTTGTTTTCTTTTCCTTCCTTACCCCCCACCTCAATAACCATTCAATTATTTGGCTTCCAAATGTCTTAATTACAATTCACTGGGATCTTTTAAGACTAACATAGTTGTTATCAGCGATCCTGACACTTCTCCAGATGTGGACAAAGATGTAGAGGGCTGACAATTTCTGGCTACAAGAAGATAAAGCCTCAAGATGACTCAGTTCAAAACAACCCTTTTATTATGATTATTGTTTTGTTTTTTTTTAAAGAAATGGAGTCTCGCTATGTTGCTGTTCTCTAACTCTTGGGCTCTGGCAATCCTCCCACCTCGGCCTCCCCTGTAGCCGGGATTACAGGCATGTGCCACCACACCTGGCTTCCAAAACAACTCTTATTCAGTGACTGGGGTGAATTGTTCAGCCAGCCAGCCATCAACAACTAATTACTGGGCATCTAGCATGTACCAGGCACTAGTGAGAAACTCTGTAAGGGTAAACAACACCTCTAAAGTTCCCATGCAGCTTCCATGGTGGTTGGGGGAGAGAGACAGTCATTAAGTACTTAAGCAAGTTCATTTCGGAAAGCGATAAACAAAATGCCGTATGGGAAAAAAAAAGCAGGGTCAAGGGATACTGCCAGCCCTGCCCGTCAGGGTGGTCCCTGTGGCAGGTTACTTACAGAAGACCCCTCCGAGGAGGGGGCATTTGAGCTGAGTCCTCAATGACAGAAAAAGACAGTGATGTGAGGAAGTAGGAAACGAGGGCTCCTGGGCAAGGGGAAAAAACTCGAACGCCCAAGAGGGGATGTGCTGTGCGTGCGGGAAGGACGGCAGGCAGGGGGTGTGGCAGCGGTGGAGTGCCTCAGGGCAGAGGGAGAGATGCGTTTGGCAAGCATGCAGGCCCTTATAGGCCAGGATAATGAAAATGGATTTTACTCTCAATACTTTGGGGAGTCACTGGAGGGTTTTGAGAAGAAAGGAGATGAGATCTGATTCACATTTTTAAAAGACGACAGAGGCTGATGTAGGCGGGATGAATTTTAAGGGGCAAAAGAAAAAGAAGAACCGGTCAGCAGTTACTTGCAGGGTCCAAGGAGAGAGAATGGTGGCTTAGGATAGGCCAGTGGCCGTGGAGGTAAAGAGAAGGGGATTAAGAGCATTTACTTACGATGTATTCTGGAAGAAGAGCCAATGGGACTGGCTGAAGAACTGGATGTAAGAAAGTGACAGAAAGGGAAGAATCAAGGATGAAACCTGGGTTTGGGGGTTGGCAACTTAGAGGACAGTGATAGAATTTACTAGGATCGAGGAAACCGGGAGGAACTCTTTTGGATATGTTCAGTTTAATATGCTATAATATATCCAGGTGGATATACTGGCCTGGAATTTGGGGAAAAGTCAGAGCTGGAAATGTAAAATTTGAGAGGTATTGGCATTTAGGTGGCAATTAAAACCATGGGCCCGCCCAGGCATGCTCGCTCATGCCTATAATCCCAGCACTTTGGGAGGCTGAGGTGGGAGGATCGCTTGAGCCCAGGAGTTTGGGCCGCCCCTGGCAACACAGCAAGACCCCATCTCTGCAAAGAAATAATTAGCCAGGCATGGTGGGATGTGCGTGTAGTCCCAGCTACTCAGGATGTTGAGGTGGGAGGATCACTTGAGCCCAGGAGATTAAGGCTGCAGTGAGCTGTGATTGTGCCACTGCACTCCAATCTGGGTGACAGAGCATGACCATGTTTTTAAAAAAAAGGAAAAAGAAAAAACAAGCCATGGGCCTGGATGAGATCACCTGGAGGGTATAAAGATGAAGAGGGCTCAGCACCAAGCCTGAGAATCACCAACATCTACAGGTAGAGGGAGGAGGCAAGGCCTTGAACAGAGATGGAGAAGGCCTCGCTGGTGAAGGAGGAAGAAACAGGAGGGCCAAAGTAGGAAGAACTTCAAGAATGGGGAAATGGGCAGCTGGGCCAAAAAAACTGAGAATGTAAAAATAAAAATGATCCCAGCACTTTGGGAGGCCGAGGTGGGTGGATCACAAGGTCAGGAGTTCGAGACCAGCCTGGCCAATATGGTGAAACCCCACCTCTACTAAAATTACAAAAATTAGCTGGCCGTGGTGGCGGGCACCAGTAATCCCAGCTACCTGGGAAGCTGAGGCAGGAGAATTGCTTGAACTCGGGAGGCAGAGGTTGCAGTGAGCCGAGATCGTGCCACTGCACTCCAGCCTGGGCAACAAAGTGAGACTCTGTCTCAAAAATAAAAATAAAAATAAAAATGACTTGCTCTGACAACATGAATGCCATTGACTTTGGCAAGAACATTCTTGGTGGAAGCAGGGACAGAAGCCAGTTTACTGCAAGTTGAAGGGTAAGAGAAGTGAGTGAGTTGGGGCTGGGCGTGGTGGCTCACGCCTGTCATCCCAGCACTTTGGGAGGCCGAGGCGGGCGGATCACCTGAGGTCAGGAGTTCAAGACCAGCCTGACCAACATGGTGAAACCCCTTCTCTACTAAAAATACAAAAATTAGCCGGGCGTGGTGGCGGGCACCTGTAATCCCAGCTACTCAGGAGGCTGAGGCAGGAGAATTGCTTGAACCCGGGAGGCGGAGCTTGCAGTGAGCTGAGATCACGCCACTGCACTGCAGCCTGGGTGACAGAGTGAGACTCCGTCTCCAAAAAAAAAAAGTGAGTGAGTGAGTGGGGAGGGAGCGGAAATAGGTACCACAAAGAACTCCTTCTAGATGTTTTGCTGTGAAGGGGAGCCAAGAAGTTGCTCGTGGGAGATGTGGAGTCCTTGGTTTTAGCTTGTGACTGGCAGATTTGACAGCACTTTTGTATGCTGGTGTGCATGATTCGGTGGAGAGGGAGAAAGTGACAATGTGGAAGAGAGGGAGATAAATGGAGGACTCAGACTTTGCGAAGGTGAGATGGGTAGCTTGTAACAGCAGGGAACAGAAGACACATGATCTAGATGCTGGTGGACATGAGGGGCCAAGGCCATGAGGAGGGACGAGAGAAAGAGGCTGTTCATCGAGCGTTTCCTAAAGGTCTGCTCTTTGTGGGACACTGTACCCCAGTGGCAGCTGGATTCAAGAAGTACATGATGGTTGGGAGAAAAGTATTAAGAACAAAGTGGTTACAGGGCCAAAATGATATTCACACAACTAAAAAGATTCAAGAAGTCAATGCCTCCTCCTGACCCAGGTCAAACGCCTTTAGGCTAGAAGGAGGGCTTCCCGTGGCGCCAGGAGGGCTTGGCGCTTGCTACTCACCGACACCATCTTGCCCTCGGAGGGCATGAAGGCAGGACGGTTGCTGATCCGCAGCTTGGTCTGCAGCGTGTTGAAGTTGATCTCCAGCTGGCATTTCTCCTGCACCTTGGGTGGCTTGTGCTTCCGGCGGTAATCCCGGAAGTCCTCCAGCTTCTTCTGCATGGCTTGCATGGTCTTCTCGGGAGTCCGGTTCTCCAGCCAGGGGATCGTGCGACGAATCCATTCCAAAAGCTGCTCCGCAAACACAAAAATACTGCTGAAGACACCAGCAAGCCCCCTCCCCCAGTTAAAAAAAAAAAATGAGGCATCCAATAATTTGTAAAGGATGAATGTTCCTAAAATCACTGAGATGTGGTACCTCTACGCACAGAGGCATGAACGAGATGTTCAGTGTCCGCCCATGGCCGCGAGTGATCACCCCAACGATACCAAACACAGGTCGAAAACTTAAAGTGAGCACGTAAAGTCGTGTCTTACAAAAATGTGACGTTTACAAGAAACTCAGGGACCAGACATTAGCAGACAAATGCTGGATGGAGCTTTCAAATTAAAAAAACAAAAAACAAAACAAAACAACCCCAAAATACTTGACATGGCAGAACTGTAGTGTAATAAATTCAGCAAAGAACTGGATTTCACTTAAAATGTGTTTTTAAAAAATAAGCTCAAATCTAATTAGATTACTTACTACACAACTGTATTGTAAGCCTGGGCCTAACTCAATGCCAAAGTGTATTTTGACGTCTAGCTTTTAAGTAAATCTGCATGATAAAAGCGAACGTGGTAGTGAATCCCTAAGGACAAAATACACATGCACCTCTTGAATTACTACCTAGGTCTTAGAAATGACTTGCTGAAAACCCCATCATTTACACTTATGCCTACTGAGCACTTGGAAAATGACAGCAGATTCGAATGAAAAATAGTTTAAATGGTGATATACCTAGAGTCTAAGGGTTTTAGGAGGATAAATGAAGGACCCAGTAAGAAAAGGAAGAATTGAATTCCTAAGGATCCTCTGGCCTTCAGTACTGGCCATGCTTCATGTCTGGCAACCCTGTCACTGCCATTCAACAATGCCATCAAGCTTAATTTTTCTATAGCAGCAGTATGAAGATATGAACTCAGTATCATAAAGTTACACTACTATTTATTGGAACATTTATTCCAAATGTCCTGATACTTTTCCCAATAAAGACCAAATATCAGCTAAATTAAAAAGAAGGCCAGGTGCGGTGGCTCACGCCAATAATCCCGGCACTTTGGGAGGCCAAGGCGGGTGGATCACCTGAGGTCAGGAGTTCAAGGCCAGCCAGGCTACCACGGTGAAACTCCATCTCTACTAAAAATACAAAATTAGCTGGGTGTGGTGGTGCACGCCTGTAATCCCAGCTACTTGGGAGGCTGAGGCAGGACAATTGCTTGAACCCTGGGGGCGGAGGTTGCAGTGCGCCAGGACTGCCCCACTGCACTCCAGCCTGGGCCAGAGAGCAAGACTCTGTCATAGAAAACAAAACAAAACAAAACAAAGCAAAAAATAAGGCTTGGCAAAAATTATTTGGTCTGAAGTATGTGTCACTGTACTTGAGTCCAATTTAGAGAGGAGGTGGCTGGGGGCCTCATGCAGCCCATGCTTGTATTTGGGAAAACAGTGCAGATGCAGCGAGGATACTGCGTAGTCGCTACGTATGCTATAACAAGAACGAAAAGAAAAACAACCTGGAAACTGCTGTCCTAACCAAGAGTCTAGCTGAAGAGCTCTGGAAAGGCACCACAGAAACTCATGCTCAAATATTCTGCAGGGAGGGCTCTGTCTTCCCCAGATTTCCTCTGGGTATTTATACAGACACACGAGCCCGAGCCAGCTCCGCACACCAGGCTGGGCCAGTTCCTTTGACACTGGGTCCCTATGTGGAGTGAGGCTTTTGCATATGGAGTGCATCCTATGTGATGTTGGTAGCCAGTGAACAGGAAAAAAAAAAAACAAGTAACCCAAGGTCGTCTAGGGGTGTCCAACCCTGGAGGTGCAGAGCTGAGCAGAGAATCGCATTCTCCTATCTTCAGACATGCAAACTATACCTTTCTGCTTTGGGATCGTTGGAAAGACCACTGGGGATTATGTTTTTGCCAAAAGTTAGGTTACTACAATAGGAACAACCTCAGAGATCAAGTGTATTTTCCTACTTTCATCCTATCTGAGATGAAAAATGCAAAATATATATATATATATATATGCCCCCACGGAGTATTTTTTCACCCTCTGTGCCTCAGCCCCTGCGTGAGGATGGACAGAACTGCAGGTCACCAGTTTCCTTTACCTCACTCGCTAGCCTCTCATATTCTTCCATCAGCCTCTCATTCTCTTGATTCACAGCAAGAACCTTACATATCCTGTTAGCCGCTGTCTCGGCCTGTAAAACACAATAGGTAAACAGGACGGCTCTGTCGACGGGAATGCGCACACACAGCATGGAACGAGGTGGGTGATGAGAGGGGACGAGGAGGGTGGCGTGCTGTAGACGGTGCAGAGTCTAGCTTAGGGTGCGGTCAGACTGAAGGCATGGCTTATGCGTACTATGAATCATTTCACACCTTTGTTACAGTTTTCACACAGACTTACACGGCAGGCTGATTAGACTGTAGGGAATAACGGGGAGAGAGCATTAGTCTAAAACACAAACTCGGTAAACATCCAGCAAGTTAGTCACAGAAATATTTGGGTCCAGGAAACCAAGATCTTGGGTCCCTGAATGTCCACCTGAACTCTCCACTGATCTCATGACGATGGGATGGAGACTCCCTGAATAACATTAGCCTTTGGAAATCAAGGCAAAAATAACTGGGGCAGGAAAATCCAGATATACCATTGCACTTGAATTCACTGAAGACCTCCTCATCTCCTGATATGAACATGTAGAACTTTCTGGAGGGGGATCCTTCCACAGAGCTGAGTGTGCTTTAAGACTTTGTCTAACCTAGATGAGAAGTCATTGAGGTAATACACAATTCTCTGTCATCTTTCGTGGAAAGGAACTTGGGGCAGGAGTGGCAAAGCGCCTTGAACCATAACTGTCTGATGGAACAAGAGAAGCTTGCCTAACTGGCTTCTGGGCCCGCAGCCTGTCCCCAGGCCTTTCCTTTAAAGTCCTCATCAGCCTGTTAGCATCCTTTCCCAGTGATGGGCTTCACAGCGGTCACTGAAATAATGCATACTCCGCCCACTGCAGTCTATCAAGATCCTCCAAGGAGAGGAACAGAAACAGGTGAATATGCAGAAAGCTGAGGGCCATTCTTCCTCAAGGTCCCTTGGGCTATTTGTCTTGAGAAATGTGAAATTTTTTGAGGTTCCAACTCTGTTATCCCCTCCACTATTTCACTTAAAATAAGATTAGTCTTGAAGGATGTTAGACCAAATCACGGAACTGTGAAGGCAATTTCTAAGCAGAGAACAAGGCCGGGTTGGAAAGGCATTCATTTCTCCTTGCCACATTCCCCCTTTACCATTCAATGCATGTGGCTCAATTTTCATGGCATTTTTTTTCTAAAGCACAAATACTTTCCACAACTTACTAATGAAATAAAGGAAATGCATTAAAAGTAAAACACATAAAAACATTTCAGGAACTGTCTAAAGTTAAAGCTGTTAAAAAAAAGTTTTCACAGTTTAGAACTTGCCATATGAGGTTATTAGAAAACACTCAGAAAGATTCCAAGGTAAGATGTGAAGCGCACAAACACACACTCAAGTATGCACACACAACTAAAACCAACAGAGAGTAACACAACAGCCCGGACGGACAAGTGTTGAGTACCTGCTCCGCGCCCGCAAAAGCGTGGTAGAAGCAAGAGACGTACGTCATGATGGCTCTTTCATCGGGTTTAGGGGTGTTCACGATGTCTGAAGGGGGAGAAAATAACACAGGACGCGCGCACACACACACACCACACACATACAGACGAAGGAGAGAAACCAGGGAGAACAGAGGGAAGAACAAATTGGTTTACACTGACCAGATTTCTGTGTTTCATGGGCCCGTGGTCCCGAACCTCAGGAAGGCCATATTGTATCGAAATGATTCGTGAACAGGATGGTTTGAGCCAGCATGTTTTTTAAGGATCAAACTGAGGGCTTGTTTTCTCCCCCACCCCTTGATGGGCTTTTAAAGGTGCATTCAATGCTTTCACATGGAAACCTGGTCTGTTGCAGATCAGAGCTTGTTACCCCTTCCTCGTGACTCCGGTCCTCCAACCGCATCAGGGCACCCGGCCCCTCTGCTCTGGGGAACGCAGGTCACTTTGCAAGATGCGGGGAATATTCACAGGGCTGCAATGGGCTATCTGTCTTCCCACTTCCCCTTCCCCACCCAAACAACTGTTGGGGATTTCTACTCTGTAAAGTGCCTTGCGTGAGGATGAAATTCACTGGAGAGGGCAGCTCTTTTAATAACTTCAATACATACTTACCATACCGCTTATAGAAATCACCAAGAATAACAAAACATCTAAAGAGAAGGGTCTACATGGCTTGTGCTTATTAAGACTCGCTACTATTTCTACTAATTGCTGAAACAGCCAAAAGGAAGACAGAAAACAGAACCATGAAAACCTACATCCTTTCTTCCTCCATCTTGGCAACACCATTTTTCGGTAAGTTGCTTTTTAACCTCGTTCATAAACTTGGGTCAGTCAATGGGTCAGAGTGAAGTTAAAAAGATACCTGACAATTCCCTATGGTGAAACCTAGTCATTGGGTTTGCAGAGACTATGAACAGAAAGGATGTGGGGTTGTGTAACTATAGAATCTTCCAGAAAACAAACATGAACGGCATACCACTGCATGAACAGAAAGTAAGTTTCAAAGAAAGCTAGACTAAAAAAGACAAACAACTGCCTCCTGGGAACCAGACAGTCTCCTTACTCGGAGGAGAGGGGGGAAAAAAGAGGAAAACAATTGAAAAAAAATTAAGACACAGAAGGTGAAGGGTGAGCAGTGACTCATGGTTTACATCCTCACCTTCTGTGCACCAGCAAAAGCATGATAGTAACAGGAAACATAAGTCATTATGGCTCTTTCATCGGGTCTGGCAGTGTATACTAAATCTGTGTGGAGAAAAGAAGGTTAACCGCGTGGATGTTCTAATACCAGCAGGCTTCTGCTAAGCACTTCCTCAGAGGTGTTGGAATCAGGAATCCTCCCCCTTCGCCCCCATACACTTATGTTCCTAACATTTTGGCTCAAATCAAAGAAGTCACACCTGCAAAGGGATTACTCTCTGTGCACTTTTGAGAATAGTCAAAGGAAACAAAGGAATTGCCAAAGAGAACGCCAAGGCTAACCCAGAAGAGCCCTAACCTAGCAAGAAAGGCACCTCCACGGACAGAATTAGGCCCTCGGAATTGAACAGAGTGCACACACCAGCACACTCACCAGGACTTTCTATTACTACACACATGGAGGGCCCAGGGGTCCACAAGATCACTTCTGCAGGTTTTCATGGAGCAAATGTACCCACAGTTCTAAACCTAGTCTGCACCTCAAACAAAGATTTGTGGAGGGAAATAGAGAAACAATTTTTACAACCTTGTAAAAGCACAGTAGATAAGTTTAGGAAGAGTTTCACCAGTTTTTGCTACAAATAACAGTTCATGGGTGAGTGGGCCGATGAGTCACTTGAAAATCCCCACTTGGGTTCAGAGACCAACACAAATGACAGGAATTAAGGTCCATGGCAGCAGACGGGAAGGCAAGGATTTACCAAAAGGCACTCATGATCTGAGGAGACCTGGACCTGACATTACCATCAAAGAGCAGCAGAAATTTTAAACTGCTGATAGAAGGCATGGGAATACAGGAATACAGGGAATGCGTGGCTAAATCTGTTAGGCAGTGATGCCACCGCACGCTCTACACGCTAGGTGGCCAAGTTCAGAACTGTTTGCCGGAAGATTCTTTTGAGCAATTATTCTGTAAAGATAATAATACAGCGTGTGAGCATTCTTCTGAACCATTAAAAGGGAAAGACGAAGAAAAGTATGGAAGATGAGGAGGAGGAAATGAACACAGTGCTAACACACCCCATCTGCCTGGAAGGATGAGCAGAATGGACATCTGCCCAGATCAGGACTCAGAGACTAAGGAAAAACCAAAGAACTGAGAAGAGAATATTAGCAGCGCCAGAGTAACACTGATGATGATCCTGCCAATAATTCTACGTGAGTGAATAGGAAACTCATCCCCAGTTTAGGATACTAGGGAGGCATGAATAAACTGGAAAATTTACTAACTGTTGCCTATTTTCTCCTCTCTTTAGTACCCTGGCTATTAACCCAAGTGGGAAAACTCGAGATAGTTATTTATCATATGAAAGGTCAAAAGAAAGAGCATACAAATATAAACTTAGCTTAGGACAGATGGAAAAAGAGGAAAGGAAATTTCCTATGTTCCTACTTCAGTGTTTTATAGACTTTGTCCCTCTAATGACTTTTAGAGAAACTATAAGTAGAATTCCGAATAATGCATTCAAGTATTAATAGCCAATAATACAGATGTTTGATTAAAATGATTAATTAATGAGCAAAATTAGAGTTCTAATTGAAAGATTGCTGTTTTGGGTTGAACTGCATTTCCCAAAAAGATACAGTGAAGTCTTTACTTCCAGCACTCCTGTGAATGTAACCTTATTTGGAAGTTAGATCTTTGCAGATATAATCAAGTGAGGATGTGGTCATGCTGGAGTAGGATGGGCCCTTAATGCAATGTGACTGGTATCCTTGTAAGAAAATATTCACAGGCCAGGCACAGTGGCTTATGTCTGTAATCCGTGCACTTTGGGAGGCCGAAGTAGGTGGATCACCTGAGGTCAGGAGTTTGAGACCAGCCTGGCCAACATGGTGAAACCCTGTCTCTACTAAAAAAACAAAAAGTAGCTGGGCATGGTGGTGCATGCCTGTAATCCCAGCTACTCAGGAGGCTGAGGCAAGAGAATCTCTTGAACCCGGGAGACAGAGGTTGCAGTGAGCCCAGATCCCACCACTGCACTCCAGCCTGGGCGACGGAGTGAGACTCTGTCTCAAAAAAAATAAAAAATAAAAAATAAAAAATAAAAAGAAAAAGAAAAGAAAATATTCACAGAGGGGAAAAGGCTGTGTGAAGACAGAGGGAGAGATTGGACTGATGCTGCCACAATCCAAAGAATGTCTGGGGCTTCTAGAAGCTGGAAGAGGCGAGGAAGAATCCTCCCCTAGAGGCTTAGGGAGCTGCCTACTCCTTGATTTCAGACACAGCCTCCAGAGCTATGAAATTTCTGCTGTGTGAGGCTGCCCAGTTTGCAGTAATTTGTTACAAAGGCCATAATACAATTACCAAAAGCAAAGAGGAATGGAAGATTGACGACTGACTATAATCAATTTCCTTAGTTTTCCCCAACATCACTAATTAGTGGAAGTAATGGACCACTAGGGAATAATAATATTTACAATAACGAACAAAGTAATATATGAATATAAGCTTCTTGAGGGCATAAATCATGAATAAATAAAATGAACGAATGGTGTCCACACATTTGTGCTTTCAGTGGTCTGCTGTAGGTACAGCTCACACAAATTCACCATATAAAAGGGACAAAAAGTATTTGAAACAAGTCCCCAGAATGAGTGATACTGAAGTGCAAAATATATGGAAGTTCTTTCAGCTCTAAATAAATTAAATTTAGATGAATTAAAAACAATATGTGAAAGTTTGGATGGTACACTGATGGTTGAATGCTCCATATTCTATATTTCAATTCTCTAACTTCTGGCTGGAAGGAAGGAATTTTTTTCTCTTAAGTATGTCACAAAGGGATTTATTTGCTACACTTGTCTCTAAGTGGTTAGGGAGAAAACATTATGTTGTTGGAAAAAATAAATACAGGAAATGTTTTTTTAAAATTATAAATAAAAGCATTTTGTTTCTTAGCCAAAGCTGAACTTTTTACCAAATCCTTTTCCTGTAATTTTGCTGGCTTGTTTGAGGGTACAATTTTTAAAAACAAATTTTATGAACAAGCTACACATGAAAATCTCTACTACTTATGTGGCCAGTGACAGAAATTTGTTAGGAATCCAAAGTACTTCGGATGTAACTTCGCTATAAAATTTTGCAAGGTCCCAATGTGTAGCCATAACATTTGTAGTCTTCAAATTTCCTGTAACTCAGCAAACACAATTTTCATCTCACCTTCAGCATCCAACATTTTAGGAATATCCAGGTGCTTCTCAGCGATTTCCATGGCCAGGTTAATATTTCCTATGGGGTCATCCTGTATGAAAACCAAGACAGTCAGATTTTTAAAATATATTTTGAAACAAGACTTATGAAGAATGTTTCTTATGTACCTCACTTTAGGCCGGACACCTTCCCACCCACACACAATCATAATAGTGTAACTTTCCTTTTCATCTTTTCCCAATCACTTCAAACATTTAGAGAAACATCAAAAATGACAGAAACCACAAAATCCATGCACACTCCAATCATAAAGTGTGAACAAAGAGTTTAAGAGAACAGATGCATTGACAAGAAAGGACACACTGAATCCATCAGAACTGATCTTCAGGCCTAGAAATAACATTTAAATCATTCTAAATAATGAAACATGCATTTTCCAGACTTGGAAGGGGATCTTGGAGAACCAGCACCCTGATTTTAAATATTGGAAAGCTGAGGGGTAAAGAGATGAAAGAAAAATGTTGCTAGCTAAAACTTTTAGCTGACTAAAGAGTGTTACTAGTGTTACAAAGGGCAAAACTCATGTTAAAGCAAGAAGAAATGACAAAACCTGAAAATCATTAAGTGAATTCATGAAAAAAATTTTGTTCTTAAAATTACATTTACCTTCCACCGTAAAAACTAGTTAAATATACATAACATAGCAAAATAAACTTAACCAGAGGTATATAACTAAAATAGTGAAAACAAAGAAGATGCAACATTTCTTATTTTGATCCACTAGAGAAATTCAAAAGAAATTAAGAATTTCAAAAGAAATGGAGGTAAGATAGAAAAATCAAAATGAAATGTGACTTTAACGAATTTTAATAACAAAGTCATTTCAATATTTTAGAAACCGCAATGTTTTCCAATGAGCACAATCATTTTTATACAGTGAAACACTGAAAAAGTGCAGGTTTCAAATATATTCACAGTGCTCAATGAAGAAACCAAAGTCAGCTTTCTGGCCTCACAGAGTATACAGCGATTTCAGTAAAAAAAAAAAAAAAGTGTTTAACTAAACGTTCTTTTAACAAAGCTTATCACCTGAGACTTTGTGAAAGCTATCTCATTTAGAGTGTAATTTAAATGATAAAATGTGCCAATTAAGTATTGATTTCCTACCTCAGCTATCGGCCATGTGGCCTCTGGTAGATTACTAACTTCCCACTTTCTTCATCTGTAAAACTGGGATAATAATAGTACCTACTTTACAGGGTTACTGTGCATTGTGAAGATTAAATGTGCACGTGGGATTTCATACATATGCATATATGCATGTGTGAATATACATGTATGTTTATTTGTTTATAACAGTGCCTGCCCTGGTGCTATATAAGTATTACTTGCTATTGTATTATCATTTTTCTGCTTTCTTAAAGATGACCAATTACTACAGATCTACGGATGTTTTGTAATACAAACTGACCATAATAAATTGCTAATGAAACTGGGTCTATGCAGTACAATCCCCTCATTTTGCAAATGAGATTAAGATTAATTGAAAAGAACTGTACCCTGTCTATATGCTTGGAACATTTCAAAGTAATTCAGGGGATAAGAAAATACATCCATTGAAAAGCTGGGAAAAAGTTCCGTTTTCATGGGCTACCTTAAAATATTTCATTCTTAACCTTTAGGATACCAGTAAACTCTTCACATGCTACCCTGTATGCCATGGAGGCAGGCTGGGGGCAGGAGGTAAGCAAGGGATAACTAAAAAGGTGGTGGAAGCCAGGACACTCTTCTTACGACCATCCATGCCACACGAGTGAGGTCAGCATGCAAAAGGGCTGGAGTCCACGCCCAAACACAGCAACAGCACGTGAATGGCGAGCTCAGCACACCAGCACCCGGCAGGAAACGTGTAGTGGCTACTGCAGAAATGTGTAGTAAGGGTGGGCCTTGCTTTTACCCTTAAGTCTTTACACACCATTCTTTCTTTTCTTTTCTTTTTTGAAACTGAGTCTCGCTCTGTCGCCCAGGCTGGAGGGCAGTGGTGCCATCTCGGTTCACTGCAACCTCCGCCTCCTGGGTTCAAGCCATTCTCCTGCCTTGCCTCCTGAGTAGCTGGGATTACAGGCGTCTGCCACCACACCCGGCTAATTTTTGCATTTTTAGAAGAGGCAGGGTTTCACCTGCCACCACGCCTAGCTAATTTTTGTATTTTTAGAACAGACAGGGTTTCACCACCCATGATGGAAAAAGAAATCAAGGTCCCTTCTGAATCTTGTGGATGCTCTGTGCTGCCTTAGTGAATCTTGTGGACGCTCTGTACTGCCTTACACACTATTATCTCTAAGGCAGCACAGAGCAGCCACAAGCTTCAGAAAGGACATTGATATCTTTTTCCATCATAGGTTACATTGTAACTACGTTTTTGTTTGGGAGTTGGTGTGTCACCCTGTGGCCCAGGCTGGAGGGCAGTGGTGTGATCACAGTCCACTGCAGCCTCAAACTCCTGGGCTCAAGCAAGCCTCCTGCCTCGGCTTCCCAAAGTGCTGGGACTACAGGTGTGAGCCACCACATCCGGCCTTAAAACTACTTTTAAAGAAAGAATTTGAATACTAATCTGAGACTTAAACACACTAAACCTTTACCTTAAAGGCAGAATTGCAGTTTTCTAAGTTAAATTTTCTGAAAAAAAGCAAAACTAAAAAAAAACGCCTGCCCCAAAAACTTCTTATGCAAGGCTACAAATGATATTTTCTAACAATAACAAGACAGTTATGAAGTAGCCCTTGTGTGACGGACGAGTTAATCAATTCTGAATAAATATGTCTACAACTAAATCCTCCAGAAAAAGTCAAGGGAACTTGACTTTAAAAAGGCTTGGATGGGCCGGGCACAGGGGCTCACGCCTGTAATCCCAGCACTTTGGGAGGCTGAGGCGGGCGGATCACGAGCTCAGGAGATCGAGACCATCCTGGCTGACACGGTGAAACCCCGTCTCTACTAAAAATACAAAAAATTATCCAGGCGTGGTGGCGGATGCCTGTAGTCCCAGTTACTCGGGAGGCTGAGGCAGGAGAATGGCATGAACCCGGGAGGCGGAGCCTGCTGTGAGCCGAGATCACACCACTGCACTCCAGCTTGGGCAACAGAGCGAGACTCTGTCTCAAAAAAAAAAAAAAAAAAGGCTTGGGCTATCTGAATCTTTCTTCCCCGCAAAAATAGAGGTTTCACTTCTCATATTTAGAATCCAGGAATGTAAAATCTCTAAGGAACATATAGAAAGCCTTCATAGTAAATCAAGCCAAATCATCAAACATATCTTGATATGGGCAAAAAGGGATGACTTAACTTTGGGTCTTGTTTTCCCTGATTTTAAGAGGTAAGTGTTTTCCTGGCCACTCTTCATACTTGGATCATGGGAAAGGCTAGCTGGGAGAATGTGCTTTTTCCTGGTGGCCGTTTCTGCAGGTGGCCCTGGGGTTTGTGCTAGGCTAGTGCTGATGTGCTCATTTGCAGGACATGCTGAGACGCGTGGCTGGGGACACTGCATGCCAGGCCACCCAGAATAACCTTGTTAAGCTTTGAGTAGTCAATGAGGTCAGGCCGGTGTCGGTGGATGAGGGCACAGAGTCCAAGGCCATCTTTCCAGCTTCACAGCCGTCGAGAAGAACAGGAACACGTGTTAGTGGAGAGAAAGAAGCAGCCAGCATCTGCACTCAGTCAGATGTTGGCCTTCCTTCTGTCTGACTTCATGCACGGAGGGCCCCATGTAGCTTCCTCTTTACCCCGCCCGGTGAGCTTGAACACTCATCTTCTTCCCAGGGTCCACGGTACTCCTCTCCTTTTGACTTCCTTGCCTGAGACTTGCCCTGTCTCCTGCCCTGATCTGGTCCGTGCTGGCACAGGCAGTGACAGGAAGGGAGATGTCTCTACTGCTGTCCCTGCTCGGCCAGTCCCAGGGTTCCTCTCTCTTCTCCAACTCTCCATTCTGGCCCTTACCCCTGAGTCTGCCCAATAAATATACACAAGGACGTCTACCCTGCAAATGTCCAGAACACACTTCCTCTAAAAGTTTTTAGGACGCTTCAAAAACCTCCATTAGGTCCCAGATACTCCTCTGTCTTTAAGTTCTTTTTTTTTTCTTTTTCTTTTTTTAAGGCAAAGGCATGTAGGTGAAGGAGGACATGCAATTAGCAGGGCAGATGTTTATTTCTGGTCTGTTCCGCCGTAGACACCAGCTCTAAATGCCCCATAGACAAGGGCAGGCCAGAGCTTGCTGGCGACAGCGGGTTCAGTGACAGCAGAGTGTGGGAGTTCTGTTCCTCAAAGGGTCTGGGGAAGGAGACCTCCGTGAGAGTTATCAGTGCTACAATGCTGAAGTACTTGGGCCAACTAGGAGCCAGAAAAAGAAAAGCAAGATGAGTGGATGCAGATCTGGGCACTCTGACTTTGACACCTGCAGAAAGTCCCAGCCCTTGGTAGCTCCTCTCATCTGCCAAACAGCATGGTGTAGGGACAAAGAAGGATTCTCTTCCCCTTTGTCTTCCCAAGGCCTGGCTCAGTGCCTGACACTTGGTAGACATTCTGAAAATATTTGTTCAACTAGAAGAACCTCCCCAATTTTTCACCGTGGTTCATCCTTATCTTTCCTTTTTCTGATTATCTCAGTGGCCTTTTTGCATTCATGGGTAACCTAGCATCCAAAGGTGAAAATATAACCAACTCTTTTACTTCAACATCATAATGACCACTCTACATGAGAAAGACTGAAGCAAGTGACAGAATCATGCTCTCCCCTGATGTCGAGATTTCATTCATCTCATTTCCTACCATTTTTCAGACATAATTTTTCTCCATCTTTTGAATTTCAGCAGAGCAAAGCTGATGGATGAAGGATCTATTTCCTACAGGGCTGAGGGCTGAAGAGTCGCTAGTGGGGGGTACGCAGACTCTGCCAGGGTCTCCCTCATCCCTGAGAAACAACAGCCATTCCTGCTGCCTTTTCCCAATACCAGGGTGAAGGCTAGAGTAAGATGCATGCTTACACCCCCAAACTCAGTAGCATCCTTCTGGTACTGCAATACCATTCACTTACAAATACAGTGCTGTTTACCAGCATGCTAAGGCTTAATCCAATGTTTTCCTCTGGGAGACTTTAAGCATCAAGAATTCTACAGCCTGAGTTCTCCTCGATACATAAAAGGCTTCTCAGACAGGAGGAAAACACGGGTGCACACAAACACTGTTCCCCATGCTACCCACAGATTCCACTGAGAATACAAGGACCAGGGGCCCTGGGTGCTCACCTAGTATGGAAGTTCTGAATGTTCACATTTCTATAAGGAGCAGTTTTCCTCTGACACCAAAGCAGCAGACCTTCTTTGGCAGATGTTTCTGTAATGACAGCCAAGAAAAAGTGGCCCCAGGGAAATGCCGCTTAGTTCACTTAGCTCCTAGTCACTTTTGAAACAGACCTCCCAGGGGGTCGATCACCCAGGGGGTCTCTTCCTACAGCCTCGGCAAGTGCATAGGAGCCAGAACCCTGATCTTGGTGAGTAAATTCTGATGACACTTAGGGACTTCAAAAGGACAATGCAGGAGCAGCCACAAGCTCCAACATAAAAAGACACTAAAACTAGACTTCAGGGTGGTTGGTGACTCGCCCCTTTTTAAATGAAAATACTTTTTTTAATTTTTTTTGAGGCACAGTCTCACTCTGTCACCCAGGCTGGAGTGCAGTGGTGGGATCTTGGCTCACTGCAACCTCTGCCTCCCGGGTTCAAAAGATTCTCCTGCCTCAGCCTCCCGAGTAGCTGGGACTACAGGTGCCACCACCATGCCCGGTTAATTTTTGTATTTTTAGTAGAGACAGGATTTTGCCACGTTGGCCAGGCTGGTCTTGAACTCCTGACCTCAGGTGATCCACCTGCCTCAGCCTCCCAAAGTGCTGGGATTTTAGGTGTGAGCTACTGTGCCCAGCTGAAAATAAATTTTTAAAAACTGTGTATACCCCATTGTGTGAGGTGACACTGGGGGCACCTATTATTCGGACCAGAGACTAAGTGTCCAATTTGAAAAGGAGGCTGTGGATGCTGACAGACCTTTCCCTGCCTCTTGATTGACTGCATCCTGAAAGTACTAGCAAAGTTTAATACTGAGCACAATCTGTAATTGAAGTGAGTCTTACAGGACAATTGGATCCTTTGTATTCACTTAAGGTTTACTGTACACAATCCTGAAAAATATGCAAACATAAATAGTCTACAGTGCAACTCACATGAAAAAATAAACTGTGTGTAGTTGATGACAACTAATCTGTCATTCATCTGGTTTGTAATTCATACTCTTAGGTAAATGGAATTCACAGATGCTACCACATCTCAAATGTATTCCTTTGCCCAGTGATTTTGTAACACTTAAAGGGTTTTATTGGTAAATTTCAAGTTTGGCCAATTGACTTCTCACCAAAAAAAAAAAAAAAAAAAAAAGGAAAAACCCAGCACCATCTGTGATGACCATAAAAATGTGCCGCTCAGACGTCCCACGGCTTCAGCTGCGAGCACAGGGCAGGCAACTGACGTGCCAGCTGCAGCCCCCTGAATGCACCACACCCCTGCATTCCCACTGAGGCCACATTCCCCAGAGCTGCTCCAGCCAAAGACTGGGGGGTGAGCAGCAGAGCTGAGACACCCCTATGCGACGTGAGACTCCTCTCAGGGCAGCCTAGGATTAAAGACTCCATCAGCCTGGCGAAATTAACCTCAGAACTGCACTGCAGTCGGAGACCTTCTTCCCCAAGCCTCCTCCCTTCCTCTTCTCGGCCCAGGTGTCAGCCAGGAGCTCTGGTCTGAAGGCTCCTCAGGCATCTCCTGCTCCCTCCCCTTCATCCTGCATAGGCATTTTCCCCAAAAAATCTCCTGCACTTCTGGTATGGCCTCAATGTTGGTGTCTTCCCGCCCATCACCAAATTCATATGTTGAAGCCCTAGACCCTAATGTGCCTGTATTTGGAGATGGGGCCTTTAGGAGGTGCTTAGGGTGAGATGAGGTCACGAGGGTGGGGCCCTCATGATCGGATTAGTGTCCTCATGAGAGAGACACCAGGGAGCCTGCTCATTGGCAGGTTCTCCCCCACCCCCACCCACCACGTGCGGCACATCAAGGCAGCAGCCATCTGCAAGCCAGGAAGAGGATCCTCACAGAACCAGACCATGCTGGCACTCTGATTTTGGACTTCCAGCCTCAAGAACTGTGAGAAAATAAAGGTCGGCTGTTTAAGCCATCCATGCTATGGCATGTTTTTATAAAGGCCTGGAAAGACTACAACAATTTCTAGTAAGTCTTGGCACTTGCTTCCTGGAGGACCCAAACCGACACACATCTAAACAGCTCCTCAAAGCCACTTATATAACTTAGGATTCCGCCTATATTTAAATGTTAACAATTTAGAAATTCCCTAAAGCATGTCGATTCCTAACTAACATGGGGCCTTCCATCTTAGGAAGGGGTTGAAGTTGATTTTTTCAAATGAAAATAATTTTGTAATTATTTATCTAAATTGTCCATTTTTAGGCCAGGCACAGTGGCTCACACCTGTAATCCCAGCACTTTGGGAGGCCGAGGCTGGTGGATTACCTGAGGTCAGGAGTTCAAGACCCAAGATGGCGAATCCCATCTCTACTAAAAATACAAAAATTAGCCGGGCACGGTGGCGGGCACTTGTAATCCCAGCTACTTGGGAGGCTAAGGCAGGAGAATTGCTTGAGCCTGGGAGGCAGAGGTTACAGTGAACCGAGATTGCACCACTGCACTCCAGCCTGGGTGACAGAGTGAGACTCCTGTCTCAAACAAAACAAAACAAAACAACACAAAACAAAAAACTGTCCATTTTAGTTCATACTTTCTTGGACCCATAACCCAGATAAAATACACACACCCCTAAAGTTCCATGTGCTATAACTTGAACAACTCCTGTGCATGTCTTTTAATTAGCAAGTGCTAGTTAAGGGAAAATAAAGTGAAACTGTTAAGACTTAATTAAAATGTGAATTGATATGGACATTGAAATCTGGAACTCCACAGCCAGTTGTTCTGCCTGTCTTTGCAGTCCTGACCAATGAAATTAAGAAGAAGAAGTACATCAGGAAGAAATAATGGGATGTATTTAATAGAGTTTAAATAAAACTTACCAGGTTAGAAAAGCAAACAAAGGTACAGTATATCTACAACACCTTAAAATTGCCACTGAAGTTTAGATTTACAAGTCACGGAGTTTCACTTAATTTCTGCCTGAATATGTGTGAACACTCTTGGGCCATGAATGCCGAACAAGGCTTTTTCCTTCTTCAATTGGTTACTACAATCAAAGCTGACCCTCCTCCAACCCCAAATCCAGTTTTAGGCTTTCAGCAAAAGGTTAACAACCTTGTGTGAATTACGTACATTACTGGAAAACCTACTCCCGAAAGGTGTATGGGAAAGTGGAAATGCGGCCATTTGGCACAAACAGGTCCACACACAAAACCCTGATCATGGTATAAAAAGCATGTTACAGATTGGCAGTAACATTTCTCATTGCATCACAAAGCACTGAATGACACCCCAAGGAGCTCCATCATCTACTTACATCTGCACTGCCTTCATCAACAGATATATTAATCTCTCATTTTCTTTTTCTTTTTTTTTTTTTTTTTGAGACGGAGTCTTGCTCTGTTACCCAGGCTGGAGTGCAGTGGTGTGGTCTCAGCTCACTGCAACCTCCACCTCCCAGGTTCAAGCGATTCTCCTGCCTTAGCCGCCTGAGTAGCTGGGATTACAGGCACATGCCACCACACCTGGCTAATTTTTGTATTTTTAGTAGAGACGGGATTTCACCATGTTGGCCAGGCTGGTCTCGAACTGCTGACCTCATGATCCACTCACCTTGGCCTCCCAAAGTGCTGGGGTTACAGGCGTGAGCCACCGCGCCCGGCCTAATCTCTCATTTTCTTTCTTGGAAGAGGCCCATCATTTTGCTGAAGGAAACTCACTCCTCAAAGAATTGTTTCTTTGATTCTAATAACAATGAATTTTTCAACATACCACACATCATTAAAACAAATAAAGATGATTTTTCTGTAGACTTACAGAAGTTAAATGAGGTTGTTAAACAATTACTCCATGAAACTAAAACAAATAAAAATATAAATTAGCAAACTGACAGTATCTACTGTGTTGGACACTGCAGAACCATCTGCTTGAAGAGATCTAGTAGGTACTTTCCTAATAAAATTATAATTTTTTAATGTTTAATTTCTTAGTCTTGTGAAGAGCAGATTAATATAGCCTTTTATCGCAAAATTTTACAAAATATTGTGATTTAGCTATCTTGCTTTGGGCATGTTAATAACAATTTTGGGGAAAACTCTAATGGATAATACCATTCATACCTACACTTGAAATATAATTAAGTTTGAATTCATATTATCACTAATTTAAAATTTGTAACCAATCAGAAACAACTTGAGGTCAACTTCACCTCTGTAATATTTGTGGAAAAAGGATTTGCTAGACCAGCAACAGTGTGACCAAGATTTCTAAAAGTAGTATTTATTTAAAGTGGGTTCAACAGTTTAAATATTTAAATTTAGAAGTATATAAAAACTGATAAAATTATTACAACTTACAATTTTTAAATAAAGCAAGAATTTTAGGAAGCCTCTTGTTTCTTTCATTAGCATAAAGGAAGGTACTGTAATAGAACTATATTGTACAAAAGTTTTCAAAGTCAGACTATGTATTAATTCAAGCTGGCTGTCATTCCTGAGCTTGAATTGTTTTAATGCCATTAGATTTTAGTTTGACTTTTAGATGACATAAGTCGGTCTCCGGTGCCAGAAGGGAATAATTGAAGTGAGTTTGAAGGTCCATAAGGGCAAGTACTGCAGGCTTCATGTCAGCTGGTACAAGTAGGCAAAGTGTTGTTTCTTAATGTTTGTTGGTTGATGAGTACCTAAAATCACTTAAAAAGACCAGAGTCTCATGCCTGTAATCCCAGCACTTTGGGAGGCTGAGGCGGGCGGATCACGAGCTCAGGAGATCGAGACCATCCTGGCTAACACAGTGAAACCCCGTCTCTACTAAAAATATGAAAAATTAGCCAGCATGGTGGTGGGCGCCTGTAGTCCCAGCTACTCGTGAGGCTGAGGCAGGAGAATGGCGTGGACCCAGGAGGCAGAGCTTGCAGTGAGCCAAGATCGCGCCACTGAACTCCAGCCTGGGTGCCAGAGTGAGACTCCGTCTCAAAAAAAAAAAAAAAAAAAAAAACAAAAAACAAAAACCAGAGTCAGAGGCTACTGTGGCCTGGGCAGAATTATAAATAACGTCTCCACCCCTTACCACTCAGGTACCTGGTTACCTACTGGATTACAGAGTCAGAAGGGGCCAAATAGTTGGACAATGCAGCAGCCCTGAAACACATTCTGCAGTTATACACTTTGTGATTTGAGGGCCAAACAGGCAAAGTTCCAATTTTAAGAATGCCAATTTGACACTTTTCAACAGTGCTGAATTCATCAAAATATTTGGGAGTGTAGTTGGTGTAAAAGACTAAAGATTTTTATCTTCAGTGGCAGTGTCAAGGATTAAGATTCTATGATAATGATGAAACAGTAGTTAGGCCAAAAGATACAGTGACAATAGAGGTCTTGTTTAAAAAGAAAAAGAAGAAAAAAGAAAAAGAGAGGGAGAGAGATAGGGAGGAAGAAAGTTAAGGAAATAACAAACATGGGTTGCAACAGATTCTTTTTTTATACCAGGGGGAAAGAAAGTGTTTCAGTTGTAAGACTAAAGAACTCTGCCATAGCTGTAAATTTACTAGTATAATAAGCAATCAAGAAGCTCAATAAATGCTCATTTTAAAAAGCGACTTCTGTTCTGAACATGTGCTCATCTTTTGCAAACCGATTCCACCCCCATGAATGAAACAGTGCTGCCGAGGTCTTTTCCTATACACATACAAAATTTATAAGAACCCACTTACATGTCTCTCATTCAATCATGTAAGTGACTGTTGGACTTTAAAACATCTTGCTCAAATTTTAATTCACAAGCTCAATTTACAGATTATACAATTAGACTTTTAACCATGTCTTTTACCTTCAACCGAAATATCCTGAATAGCAAAGCGAAGGATGATGGTCCAGATCATACCCAGGGTCATTTTCACGTTGCCATCAACAATTTCTGCAGGTAAGAAAACAACAAATTAATGTAAAGATAACATAGTCTGTACGTAACTTTTTTCCTATATATAAATGTTGACTTCAGAGCTATTGGAAAATGTGCATATGGATGGAAAGACCAGTTTATGTTTTTATAAGCACCGCAGTATGTCTGGTTATAAATACAGTATTCATAACCAAATGTCTCTAGTTTAAATAAATTCTAAGTTAATAATAAGCACAAATCTTGCATATGTATTATCAGTGAAAACCACCCGGGAGTTTCCAAAGTTTTAAGATGTAATAGCTAAGGTTTTTTTTTTTTTTTGAGATGGAGTCTCACTCTGTCGCCCAGGCCGCAGTGCAGTGACACAACCGTGGCTCACTGCAACCTCCGCCTCCTGGGATCAAGCAATTCTCCTGCCTCAACCTCCTGAGTAGCTGGGACTACAAGGACTACAGGCATGCGCCACCACACCCAGCTAATTTTTTGTAAATTTAGTAGAGATGGGGTTTCACCACGTTGGCCAGGCTGGTCTTGAACTCCTCACCTCAGGTGATCTACCCGCCTCAGCCTCTCAAAGTGCTGGGATGAGCATGAGCCACTGTGCCCAGCCATGAGCTAAAGTTTTAAATAATCAAATAAAGAGAACACAGTCTCATCTTTACCCTGACCCTTCTTACGGCATTCCGCAGCTGACAAGTAGCAGGACTCAGTTGTGCATACAGAGATATGGGTGGAAATCTCAGCTCCCGCTGACCTCACCAAATTCCCAGTCTCCCATAGAGAACAAAGAGGCCACTTCCTTCCTATTAGTTAGTTCTTATTAAGAGTCATTGGGATGTGTAAGTTCTTTCTCAGTCCTTTAAGTCTTCTGAAGATGACAGCATTATATTTAATTCTATGCTTTACAAAGAACCTAGAGCTTGGTCTCCCACTCATGGTACCATTTGTTCTTATCTTTGTGCACCGAGCGCCCTAAGAGAGAGCCTGATACAAGGCAGGTACAGTAAATGGTGAAAGGGAGGGAAGAAGGGGAGAATTCAAGTCGCAGCCCACACCTACGCTATTAGGTCAGTGTGGCAGACAGGACCACCCACCACACCTCTCACCTTCAGCGCCAATGGACACCAGTTTCACCCCTTTGCTGGCTATGTAATCCAAAGCTTTGTTGACATTAGCAATTTTGTGGAACCGCATTTTTCCCCGGTCAGGTTTGGGCAGCCTTTCCCCTGTTGGATGAAAAGAGAATCATGCAGACATAGAGACAGTGACCTCTTGATGCGGAATCAAGATGCCAAAACTAAGCATCCATCTTTTCCTTAAAAAGAGAAGGTTACATGACTATTTCTGATGTGTGCCTGGTCTCTCTAAATCACAGCAATGAGGGAACACTAACCCAGAAACTTTCAGAATCAAATGGACCAGCAGGGAGCCATACTATGAAGGACACATGCTTTTCAGATCTGCAGGGAGAGTCTGGTTTGGCCCATGATCCAACTTACAAATGAGTAAAAAGAGAAGCTGGTTAGAGTCCCTGGAGTATTCAGAGTTGCTGGCTAACGGTTAGAGGAAGTCAGGATGGCCAGTTAAAATCACAGAGGTGGCTGCCAGGGCTCGTTCGACACCTGATTATGAAGACAGATGGATCAGGGCAGATCTGCCATAATCCTTCCCAGTCACACTTCTCCAAAGGTGATCCATTCTCTAGTCCAAAGTCTAAATCAGCCAACTGAAATTCAGGACAAATCATAGCCCCACTGGGATTTTAGCTTATATGTTCAGAGTTCTGCCAACATGTACAGTAGATTTTTGGATACAAGATGATTTCTGGAATACACTCTAGCTGGACGAAGAGTAGAAAGGGCAGCATGGAGGGAGTCGTGTGAAGTCATTTTTTCTTCTCTTATTTTGTTTCAAGCTTGGTGGTATAAACATTATTTTAATAAGTGATTTTTAAAGAGAATTCACTCCTTTTTTTAGAACGGAAAAATAACTCCAGGCAGATTGTTCTTTGGAAAGGTTTTCTTTGGCAATAATACCATGTTCTTGCCCAGCCAAGTTCAAAGCGAACTTCTGATGTAGTCATCTTTAAATAGATGCTCACCTACTGATAACACATGAAAGCATAGGATGGGATATATAACACCAACCTGAGATGACTTCCAAAAGCAGCATGAGCTTAAGGCCATTCCTGAAGTCTTCCTCGATGTTCTCAATCTGGGTGCCGGCTTTCCTTAGGTGGGAGTTACACCAGGCAGTGAAGGTCTGCAAAGAAAACCAAACACGGTTTAGCACAGGTCCATCGGATTTCAGATCCCTTCCTCACAGACGACACTTGACACCTTACACGTTCTTGGGAATCTACAAGGCTGGGGCTGCTTGGGCTTCTAGAGGATGCAGAATTTGATGGAAAGAAGAACTGGAAACCCAAAAGAACGATTTTAGTAAATTTTCCACTTTAGAGATAAAGACTCTCTTATTGGATATTCCAACCTGAAGAATTTTTGCCTTCCATTTAAAAAGACACCACATTTATACCTGTATCTTCACCTTTTGAAACCCTTTTACTTTGTAGAAAAGATAGATTAAATTAAGATGTGCTTATTTCTTGCTCACAAATATGCAAAATATGCTTGCTTGCAGCAGAATAGATGAATAAATAACAGTGTTTTGTTTTGTTTTGGAGACAGGGTCATCCAGCTCTGTCACCCAGGCTGGAGAACAGTGGTGTGATCATGGCTCACTGCAGCCTCAACCTCCCAGGCTCAACTGATCCTCCTGCCTCAGCCCCCTAAGTAGCTGGGACTATAGGCATGCACGACCACACCTAGCTAATTTTTTTTTAGAGATGGGGTCTTGCTATGTTGCCCAGGCTGGTCTCAAACTCCTAGACTCAAGCAATCCTCTTGCCTCAGCCTCCCAAAGTGCTGGGATTACAGGCATGAGCCACCATGCCCAGTCTAAATAATGTTTGAAGAATGTTCAAAGGCCAGGTGTGATGACTCACACCTGTAATCCCAGCACTTTGGGAGGCTGAGGCAGGGCAGATCACTTGAGGTCAGGAGTTCGAGACCAGCCTGACCAACATGGTAAAACCCCGTCTCTACTAAAAATACAAAAATTAGCTGGGTGTGGTAACGTGTGCCTGTAGTCCCAGCTACTCAAGAGGCTCAGGCAGGGAAGTAGCTTGAAACCAGGAGGCGGAGGTTGCAGCAAGCCAAGATCATACTACTGCACTCCAGTCTGGGTGACAGAGTGAGACTCTGTCTCAAAAAAAAAAAAAAAAATGTTCAAAATGTGTTGCTTTAGAGGAGAGGGTGGGTGATATTGTGTAGCAGAAAGAAGAGAGAAGGGACCCATAACCAGTGATAACCTAGAACTAGTTTATCTCGGGTGAACAACAGTTTTAAGCTACTAATTAAATCAATTAAACAAATTTGCAGTATAGTCTATCATTGAAAAAATAATAACAATAACCTCCTACAAGCATATTCCAAGCACTGGACTACATCCTGGATCTCAAAGGTGACTATATTCAACCCTGCCTTTGGAAGGGATCACAGTCCAGTCATATTAACAAATTACTAGGGCAAATCTTCGGCTGAAAATGGACCATATATTAAGTGACATCTAAAGTTATTCTGTTTATTTTTCCAGCTTCTTTTAACTTGGCTTCCACTTGTGCCCTATTTCCTGCCAAAACCAGATTAGAAATGTTTCTGGCAGCTGCTGGCTAAGCATGCAAAATGTCCCCTCATCCCACAACAGCTGCTGGGCTTGAGAACAAAGTGCCTGGCACATCAAACTGGGGAGTAGGGGACACACAAACAGGGTTTGTGTTCAAGATGAAAACTTCAACCTATCAAAAACAGGCTGCTTCTAAGTCAGACTACAGAAAGACAAAGTGTCCATAAAAATGATTTTCCTGGGTGATAAAGAGGATTTTCAAATCTGACTAATAGTTTCTCCTTTCAAGAAGGAGGTGACAGCATTTAATTCAAGGACCAAAAAAAAAAAAAAAAAGAAGAAGAAGGGATTTTTTGGATTTACAGTAATAAATTTTACCCTGAGAGCCTAAACTAACAATTATGTCTAAGCTTTAGTCAGGTCTAAACAGAAAAGATACTCTAAGCCATCCACTTTATTTATTTTTATTTTTTATTTTTATTTTTTGAGACGGAGTCTTGCTTCCAGGCTGGAGTGCAGTGGCATGATCTCAGCTCACCGCAATCTCCGCCTCCCGAGTTCAAGTGATTCTCCCGCCTCAACCACCCTAGTAGCTAGGAATACAGGTGCCTGCCACCACACCTAGCTGATTTTTGTATTTTTAGTAGAGACGGGGTTTTGCCATGTTGGCCAGACTGGTCTTAAACTCCTGACTTCAGGTGATCCATCTGCCTCGGCCTCTCAAAGTGCTGGGATTACAGGCATGAGCCACCACACTCGGTCTTAAGCCATATACTTTAGATCTATACCCAATCAGTGTGGTAGCTCCTAGCCAGAAGTAGCCACTTAAACTTAGACTAATTAAAATAAAATTTAAAAATTAGCTCCTCAGTTGCACAAGTCATGTTTTAAGTGATCAAAAGCCACATATGGCTAGTAGTATTGGATGGTGCAAATATACAACATTCCTATCATCACAGAAAATTCTACTGGACAACACTATAGATAATTAAGTTTTGTTTTTTGAAGGTAAGATTATGATAAGAATTCATTACTTATTTTTTAACATATTAATTTTATGTATTTATTTTTTGAATGAGTAATAGGTTTCTTTGGTATAAAACTTCAAGTGGTAACAGGGTGGGGGGAGGGGGGAGGGATAGGATTAGGAGAGATACCTAATGTTAAATGACGAGTTAATAGGTGCAGCACACCAACATGGCACATGTATACATATGTAACAAACCTACACGTTGTGCACATGTACCCTAAACCTTAAAGTAGAATAAAAAAAAAAAAAAGGAAAAAGAAATTCAAGTGGTACGAAAGGGTTCAAAGAAAAATCCATCCTCTCACCTTTGTTCCTTGGCTACCCAATGCCCTACCCCATAAGGAATGAAGCTATCAGTCTCTTGCATATCCCTTCAGTGGTATCTGTGTATACATAAACACACAGTGAGGAATGAAGCTATCAGTCTCTTGCATATCCCTTCAGTGGTATCTGTGTATACATAAACACACAGTGAGGAATGAAGCTATCAGTCTCTTGCATATCCCTTCAGTGGTATCTGTGTATACATAAACACACAGTGAGGAATGAAGCTATCAGTCTCTTGCATATCCCTTCAGTGGTATCTGTGTATACATAAACACACAGTGAGGAATGAAGCTATCAGTCTCTTGCATATCCCTTCAGTGGTATCTGTGTATACATAAACACACAGTGAGGAATGAAGCTATCAGTCTCTTGCATATCCCTTCAGTGGTATCTGTGTATACATAAACACACAGTGAGGAATGAAGCTATCAGTCTCTTGCATATCCCTTCAGTGGTATCTGTGTATACATAAACACACAGTGAGGAATGAAGCTATCAGTCTCTTGCATATCCCTTCAGTGGTATCTGTGTATACATAAACACACAGTGAGGAATGAAGCTATCAGTCTCTTGCATATCCCTTCAGTGGTATCTGTGTATACATAAACACACAGTGAGGAATGAAGCTATCAGTCTCTTGCATATCCCTTCAGTGGTATCTGTGTATACATAAACACACAGTGAGGAATGAAGCTATCAGTCTCTTGCATATCCCTTCAGTGGTATCTGTGTATACATAAACACACAGTGAGGAATGAAGCTATCAGTCTCTTGCATATCCCTTCAGTGGTATCTGTGTATACATAAACACACAGTGAGGAATGAAGCTATCAGTCTCTTGCATATCCCTTCAGTGGTATCTGTGTATACATAAACACACAGTGAGGAATGAAGCTATCAGTCTCTTGCATATCCCTTCAGTGGTATCTGTGTATACATAAACACACAGTGAGGAATGAAGCTATCAGTCTCTTGCATATCCCTTCAGTGGTATCTGTGTATACATAAACACACAGTGAGGAATGAAGCTATCAGTCTCTTGCATATCCCTTCAGTGGTATCTGTGTATACATAAACACACAGTGAGGAATGAAGCTATCAGTCTCTTGCATATCCCTTCAGTGGTATCTGTGTATACATAAACACACAGTGAGGAATGAAGCTATCAGTCTCTTGCATATCCCTTCAGTGGTATCTGTGTATACATAAACACACAGTGAGGAATGAAGCTATCAGTCTCTTGCATATCCCTTCAGTGGTATCTGTGTATACATAAACACACAGTGAGGAATGAAGCTATCAGTCTCTTGCATATCCCTTCAGTGGTATCTGTGTATACATAAACACACAGTGAGGAATGAAGCTATCAGTCTCTTGCATATCCCTTCAGTGGTATCTGTGTATACATAAACACACAGTGAGGAATGAAGCTATCAGTCTCTTGCATATCCCTTCAGTGGTATCTGTGTATACATAAACACACAGACACACGTCTTTTTTTTCCCTTTGGTCCCTTTAACACAAATCATAGGATATACATTGTTCTATACTTTGCTTGGCACAGTGGCTCATGCCTGTAATCCCAGCACTTTGGGAGGCCAAAGTGGGTGGATCACTTGAGATCAGGAGTGCAAGACCAGCCTGACCAACACGGAGAAACCCTGTCTCTACAAAAAATACAAGACTAGTTGTACATGGTGATGCACACCTGTAATCCCAGCTACTCGGGAGGCTGAGGCAGAAGAATTGCTTGAACCCGGGAGGCAGAGGTTGCAGTGAGCCAAGATCGTGCCATTGCACTACAGCCTGGGAAACAGGAGTGAAACTCCGTCTCAAAAGAAAAAAAAAAAAAGAAAAAAGAACAATATATATAACCTAGAGATCATTCCATATCAGTATAAATTCTTTGTTTTTATGGCTGTATAGTATTCCACTGTAGTGTATAAACCGTATTTTATGTAACTAGCTCCCTATGAACGAATATTTGGGTTGTTTCCGGATAATTAAGTTATTACAGTAAAATACACCCCAGGCCCCATCTTCAGCAAGTAAAATTACTTTAAAGGAATTTTTAAAACTGACAATATTAAGACTAATCACATACCTGAGTTTTTGGGAAAGGCACAAAAGAATAGTAGGTTGTTAAAAAAAAAAAAAAGCAACTGATGGAGAGAACATATAATGAGATAAACATTTATAAAATTTTTAAAATTTAAATTCTACTTAAAAAGTGGGCAAATATTGCTGGTGAAAGTCATCATACTTTGTCTGTTATTTAAATCTCTTCATAATACAGGCATCAGAAGCACTTCTGGATATATCCCTAAAAGCTGCTCATGAAATCCCAAGCTTCCTGACCCCAAACCACAGAAAGTCTGTTTGAAAGTACCTGTTTTTTGTTTGTTTGTTTCTGTAAAGAGATAAGACGGTCTCGCTCTGTCACCCAGGCTGGAGTGCAGTGGTGCTATCATGGCTCACTGCAGCTTTGAATTCCTGGGCTCAGCGATCCTCCCACCTCAGCCTCCTGAGTTGATATTACCTTTTTATAGATATATATACAATGAAGGTAATTTACCATAGGTAATTATCCACTTGTTCAAATCCAGAGAAGGTCAATTTATTTAGTTAAGCCTAATGAAGTTTCCCTATCTTTAATGAATACTCATAAGAGTCAACAAAGGTGGTGACTAACTTAAATGCAGAAAAAAGACTCCAGCTGTTCTGTGGTAATAGCTTATAAAGAGCCCAGTGCCCTCTGAAAATGAATTTTAAGCTTTATTAGAATGTTTAATTTTTATTCTATTTCCTGTTTTAATTACCATTGCCTAGGGAGACTGTTCCTACGCATCCCCTATCACCCCTGTTTCTGTGAAAAGTCTGTTAATCATGGATAAGATAAAAACAACAGTAGCAACAAAACCCCACACATTTGAGCCGAAGCCTTCTTTGTGAACTTTCTTGTTGTTTGTATCGCAACATGCATCTTTAGGGTTCTTGAAAACTAAACCTTAGAGAACTAAAGTGGAAATGAAAGTGGGTCCATGCAATTCTGGAGGCAGGCTCTTTGGCTTAAAACAGATTACCAAGCCATATGTCCTTTCTTAAGGGAAATGTTGCTTTACTGAATCAGATACAGACCACAGAAGAAAGAGGCCAATGTCTCCTCAACTTATAGCTCAATCCAGAAGCTGCCCTGACACATGCAGAACCCTCCAACCTCCTCTCTTGTTTTCAACTTAAAGCCTCCTCTACCTCTCTCCTGAATAACAGCTTATTCTCTGTTTCTCTGCACCTAGCCATAAATATAAACACTTTCAGCATCCCAAAAAGTAGGCACATAAAAAGTTTCAGAGCCACAAAAAGAAGACCGAGATGGGAAGCCACAAAACCATCTATCCCCAGAAAGAAAAGACAGATGTTTGTAGTCCTGGCCAAGCGTGGTGGCTCACACCTGTAATCCCAGCATTTTGGGAGGCCAAGGTGGGTGGATCACTTGAGGCCAGGAGTTCAAGACCAGCCTGATCAACACGGTGAAATCCCATCTCTACTAAAAATATAAAAACTTAGCCTGGCGTGGTGGCGCATGCCTGTAATCTCAGCTACTCAGGAGACTGAGGCAAGAATCGCTTGAACCCAGGAGGCAGAGGTTGCAGTGAGCCAAGATGGTGCCACTGCACTCCAGCTTAGGCAACAGAGTGAGCCTCTGTCGCAAAAAAATAAAAAATAAAAAGACATGTTTCTAGTCCTTACCACCCACCACAGAAGTTAAGACAAAGCTAAGGAAAACAGTGTTCAACAGTGTTCTATAGATGGAAATGCGGTGGAAGACAGTCTCACTATGTATATTCCTTAGACAGCTGGAACAAATATTAGGATCTCTTTCCTAAACATAAAGAATTGCAACCAGTGAGTCCCTGGCCAGGGTGGGCAGTCAGTGGGTGCAGATGCTCTCCACTGGCTATACAGGCCTTCCCTGGATGCAGATGGAAACTCTCCTGGGCACCACGTTCCCGTGCCTTGGAGTCATACAGATGCTTTCAAGTGTAAGGACTGAAGGATACTCAAATGATCAGCAGTCTCTGCCTCCATTATATTCCTGAACATGATCTAGAACAGCGGTCCCCAACCTTTTTTGGCACCAGGGACCGGTTTCGTGGAAGACAATTTTTCCACGGGTGGGGGGTAGGGAAGGGGGATGGTTTCAGGTTGAAACTGTTCCACCTCAGATCATCAGCCATTCGATTCTCATAAAGAGCGCACAATGTAGATTTCTGGCACACAGTTCACAGTAGGGTTTGCACTCCTATGAGAATCTGATGCTGCCGCTGATCTGACAGGAGGCGGAGTTCAGGTGGTAATTCGGGCAATGGGGAGCAGCTTCTGCTCACTTGGTCATCCGCTGCTCACCTCCTGCTGTGCAGCCCGGTTCCTAACAGGTCACGGACCAGTACCAGTCAACAGTCTGGGCGTTGTGAGCCCCTGATCTGGAGACCCGGAGGATGTTCCTCAACCTCCAAAACATGGTGGTTGAGGAAATATCAGTTGAAGGGGTTTTCCAGAAGCATTTGCTGGCTACAATTGTCAGTCTCATTCAATGGCTTGGAGGACTTGCTAGCAAAGTCCCTAATCCATGGGAACTACAAGAGTATTGCTTTTCTCAAAGTGAAATTATGTAACAGGACAATCAGCACAATGTGCTTAACGGCAAAAAGAAAATGTGCATGTCCTTACTGAATTGTTGAGACAAACCAGTGTTATTCAATCGCTATGCATTTGTATTTGATTTCTTTTTAAGTTAATGAAGCCTACATCATATCAACCTACATTCCCTAAGGTAAGGGTAGGAAAAGTCTTTTAATCAAAATGAGTGAAAAATGTGATTATTTACATCATCCTCTTTGACTACGCATGTGCACAATTTTACCTAGAAGAGATTATTACCTAGGTACACAGACGGGGACCCGAAAAATCAATCATGAGTCTGACATGGTTCCCTGAATATCAGTCCATTTCACTTATCAGTGAATTATTAATTCTTTTAGCAATACGGTTCTAAGCCTGGGCTGGCTTCTGTAAAACTATCTGTTCAACCTTCATCATTCCATTTTCTCCAAAAAAAAAATTTGGCAACATATCTATACATTTCCTTTATACTTCTTTAACTAGCTTTTTCTTTAATAATAATTACATAAAATAATCATTTCAGATCACATTTCCTAAAATGGAAACTCATCCCAGACGTAGGGCTTTCTGAGTGAAATGAACCAGAGTCTGCTGAGGACTGGGATACCCAGGCACAGCAGAAAACTCAGGGGTGAGCAGGCCTGAAGAACATGTAGCTTTTAAACCTACCAATTATAAGACAGCATTGTCTGTCAGGTGAAAAATGGTCTGGGGTGCTGCTGAGCGTTCTCTGTTGAAGTTGCATATCATTTCCTTTCCTCAGGGAGCTGAGACATCAAGAGGTCTGCTTGGTCAATTCCAAGCCTTCCCCAACACTCATCACGACCTGCATCCTGTGGGGTGGGACAAGCAAGCCCCAGCTACAGCGGCAGTGGTCCCCGAGATGGGGCATGGAGGACAGGCAGAGCTCGGTCCAGCCTGCAGTCATGGCTCAGAACTCGAATTGTATTTCTGACTCTGACACCATGCAATTATTTGTCCTTCACATCCTGATCCTTTCCCAGATATACATACATATATATATATACACACACACGTATATATATATATACACGTATATATATACATGTATATATATACATATATACGTATATATACATATATACATATATATACATATATATGTGTGTGTGTGTGTGTATATATATATATATATATATATATATATATATATACAGTCATTTGTCATGATCAGCTTTATGAAATAGTTCAAAAGATTATTGAGAGGAGAAGAAAGAGGCCGGCCAACACTACCTGTATCACGATGGTTCTGAACACCCTCTCGTGTGAAACTACTGGAAACCACAGCTCTGTTAAACTGCTGTTCTAAAAATGCTCCATTTATTTTTCTATTTACAGCCATCACTTTAATAGTGTTCTTTTCCACTTCACAAATTCCCAATTTGCCAAGATTACCTCTAATCGGTTTCCTGGTTCTTTCTAAATATTAGAAAAGTAAGGAGGCTCTGGAAAGCTGCATATGTCGTAAAAATCACTGACTAAAGTGGAAGAGGAAGGTCAAAGCCGTCTCTCCAAAGTAAATGCAATTTCCGTTTTACCCTTAAGAAAGGAGGCTCTGCCCTCATAGAGAGTAGGTGGCCTAACCGTCTGTGAGGGCAAAAAGTCCTGCAATCTGCGTGGAGCAGAACATACTGGTTCACTACAGAGCGTCTCAATCCCCCCAGCCAGCAAGGCCCAAAAGGTACATACATCACACGAACTGCGCTGGAAGCAGTAACATCTCAACCAATGAGCTGCCCCAGAATCACCAGCAGCAACCTTACATTTAAATGTTCAGACACTCAACCGTCTTGAAAAACGTTTAGAGAGTGTTGGCATCTACATTAAAATCAAGAAAGTCTACACTAATATCAAGGAAGTTCTCTAGATCCACAAGCCACTCATACTGGTGACTAACCACTCAGCACAACGAAAACTGAATAATCATGACTTTGAAAATATCCCTCCAAATCTTCAATGTTGCCAAGTACTCAGATACACCTTTCAACTATCCACACAAAATTTTAAAAATTTAATCAAAGTAAGGATTATGTAAATGAGTGTGTTAATCCCAAGGATTTTGCTTGTGCTACAATCAATTATCAGGATGTCCTGGAAGTCCATTTGAGGCCTTAATGTTCTCATAACTTACATAATTAGGCATCTAACTACGCAGCAGCCCTTTTATTCTCTGCCCACGAATCTCTGCTTGGTCTCCAAGGTCCTGTTAGATAACATGGTATGCAACAGCTCAGTCCAGCAATCCCTAAAAAAACACAGGCCTTAAATCTGAACCCTGGCTTCGTGACCTGCTTAGTGTCTAGTGTGGACAAGTCAGCTCATCTCTCTGTGGTTTGTTCCCTCCCCCAAGAAATGCATTATGATGGCCAAGTGCGGTGGCTCACACCTGTAATCCCAGCACTTTGAGAGGCCGAGGCGGGTGGATCACGAGGTCTAGGAGTTCGAGACCAGCCTGGCCAATATGGTGACACCCCATCTCTACTAAAAATACAAAAATTAGCCAGGCGTGGTGCCTTGTGCCTGTAGTCCCAGCTACTTGGGAGGCTGAGGCAGAAGAATCGCTTGAACCCAGGAGGCGGAGGTTGCAGTGAGCCAAGATGGTGCCATTGCACTCCAGCCTGGGTGACAGAGTGAGACTCCATCTCAAAAAAAAAAAAAAAAAAAAGAAAAAAAAGAAAAGAAAAGAAAAGAAAGAAAAGAAAAAAGAAAAGAAAAGCACTATGAATCTAACTCAATTAGTTTGCTGTGAGGTATGATGGATTATAAGCGACTAGGAAACATTTCTATGTGCCATAGAAATACAAAGAAGAGCAATCAGCGACGGCAATTCCAAGAAACTTGAGTGGTGCCGTGGGGTTGAAACTGAAAGAGAATTAAATCATTCTAAAATCTTACTCAGGTAGGGCGAGATTGCTCAGAAAAATAAAGACAGCCTATAGTCACGATTTAAGCCTACTTGAGCATAGGAGATATTCCGCCTCCAATAACTAAGGAAAAACATGCTGTTGCTTAGCACAATTCATGGAATATTGCTGCAGAAAGAAAAGGGGTGCAAGAAGGTCTCTGATCTAAGAATCCAGAACCCTGCCAATTCTTCATCTTTTCCAGATTCATCACAAGTATTCATACCCCTGCTGGAGAGCAAAGAGCATCATTAACATATCTTCATTTCCTCTGGTTAGAAAGTGTTCAGAACATCCTTTTTTACCTATAGGGGGCAAAAATATTGCCCATGCAATTGAAATAAACTTATTATTAAGGGACAATTAAAATAATGGGTGACATTTGAATCATGACTTGGTTCATAATACACCATGTCCAAAGAGCCTTAAAATTAACTCTTGTAAAAAGGCAAATCCCATTGCTTTCCATTGCAAAAGGAAGACCCACAACCGGCTTCCCAGGCTGTTACATGTCTGCATGCATACGTATTATTAATCAAAAAACCCAACACAAGGTAGTCTCTAATCCTGCCTTATTCACCTCTGCCATCACTCAGAAAACCCAGCACCCAGCAGGTGCGCCTGCATTCGCACACACAGAGCTTGTACCTGTTAAAGTTTTCAATACTTCCAAGTTTAAACTGTGATGATCTCAGTTATAAATAAAGTGGAACTTCAACAGTATCAAAAAGCTGCTTTTATTAGGTTGGTGCAAAAGTAATTGCAGTTTTTACCATCAAAAGTAATGAGTAAAATAATAGCTTGAGTTCCAGTTACATTGATATAGACACTGAAATATACACTGATACATACCCAAAGACAAGGTAAGAGAAAGAGAGGCAGCCTTCTGTTCTGTTGATTCTCCCCCAACAAACTCTGCCTGGATGCAGGATTCAGAGTCTCTTTCTACCCAATGCCATTGTATATCTAATGATCTCAAATTAAAGGGTAGGAAAGCTCACAAACAACTCAAGCATTTTCCGAGGCCCCATGACCACCACCATTTGAACATTCTAAGAAATGCTGGTGAAAGTGACACACAGAGAAGCAGGGATCTTTGTTTTGGGCTCTGGACAGTGCCCAGAACACAGTGGCATTCAGTAACTATTTGTTGAATAAGATCCATTTGTCAGACTTTCTGGAACCAATCAAAGAGGATACAAGTCAACATTTTTTTTAATAAAAAGAAACCTGAGAAGCTAAAAATGTGTATCTGCTCAAGTTCCAGGTTTTTAAAATTTCTTATTATCATGTCAAACTTAACTACAGAATCCTTAAATGTTAAGAAAGATTCTATAATCTTGCCAAGAAAAAAAAAAAAGAAAATACCTTGCAAAAATAACAGGCAACCTCACAGCTGAGGGTATCTAAAAATAGAATCAGGCTAATGGATGACACTTTAAGTGGAGAGGTTAAAGATGGTTCTCCCAGCACTTGAAAAGATTGTCTTATCCAGGTCTGGTTTTAATCAAATTCTGCATCACAAATTTCAGGCTTCCACTGCCAGGCTCACAAGACTGATTTCCATTTAGTCCATGGGCTATTCAAAATACAGAAAGAAAGGCACTAAGCTCTGAGACTGTATAACAGGAAACACTCTTTTCAGGGTTTTCAACAAAGCCAAATCTAGCCCCGACTAATACTGGTTTGAGGAATGACCTCTCCGATATATGGAATCACCCCCATAACTTCCAGAAAGGATGGAAACTATGGAATTTGGAAAGGTGAAATGCCTGATAAGGCAACTTTATACAGGGAAAAATCTATGCTCCAACGGGAAACTTCTGCATTGTCCATAAGCAGCCCTTCTAGGCTCTTCTACAAATCTACAGGTCACAGACAACTGATAGCAATGCAAAATAATTCTGTCTACAGACATTCAAATAAATCAAAGTAGAGGGACACTCCACCTCCCACAGAAAAAAGGGCCCCTCCATGTGCACATTCATTTCATTCCTGCTCCACAAATGTGTCTTACCCTTTGGATGCTCTTTTGGACTGGTTGTAACGGCTTACCAGTTTCCTCATTAATGAGTTGAAGAACATGTTTAAATATTCATCTTTATATTTGTATGACAGTCATGATTCTACTTTTATTTGAGAATTGTATTTTAATACTTTCTGGGTCTTTCTTCTAAGAAGAGTCCCACATTCCAATAAGCTAAAATATTCATTTTCTGATATAAATTTTAGTAGTTTCTGTGATATTTTTTATATATATATATTTATACACACACAGGTATATATTTATATGTTTTATCCATTGTTCTTGGCTCATAACTCTCATAGCCCTTGTTACAGTCTTTTGCTGTCATGCTAGGGTGGCTCAGGCCTCAGGAGCAGGCTTTCCCTGGAGGGACTCTAATTTTCCCTTGTCTTTCTGGCTTGGAGCTGGCCGTAAAGCAATGATCTGACCTACCTTATCTGACTGTCGGTCATAAGACCCTCATTTCAGAAGGAGTCCTGCCACAAACCTGGGAGAAACGAAGGCTGCACAGACAGGCTAAGAAGAGTCTGAACAGACAGGCCTTGTGGGGATTTTCCCACTCAGCCTATTAGTATTAGATCACAGCCTTTTTGTCCAATCACATTTCCCCACGGTTCTCCAAGCTTCAATTATGCCTATCCAGTGAGGTCTCCTTCAAAAGCCCACGAGGATGGAGTTTGGAGAGCTTCCAGGTTAACTGAACACGTGGAGGTTCCTGGAGGGCGACCTGCTGGGGAGGGCATAGAAGCTATGCACCCCTTTCCCCCATACCTCACCCTATGCATCTCCTCATCAGTATCCTTTTAAATCTCTCATATCATAAGCCAGTAAATATACGTACCTGTTTCCTTGAGTTCTGTGAGCTGCTCTAGCAAATTGATCAAACCCAAAGAGGCATGAGAACCCCAATTTTAAGTTGGTTGGTCATTAGTTCTGGAGGCCTGGACTTGAGATGGTGTCTGAAGGGGGGCAGTCTTGAGGGACTGAGCCCTCAACCTGTGGGATCCGGTGCTATCACCAAACGGACAGTGTCAGAATCAAATACACTGGAGTACACCCAGCTGGTGTACAGATTGCCTGCTTGGTGTACAGGGTGGCGGAAAGTGGGAGGAGACCACACACATTTGGTCACAGAAGTCTTCTGGGTTGACTGTTGTGGTGTGAGAAGAGAAAACACAGTTTGAGTTTTTTCCACACTCAACTTCCATGAAGACAGAGAGTGATTAATACACAGGAATGATACACAGAACTGAAGTCCATCATATGTTGATCTCAAATTACAGTACGCTTCCCTTGTCCTGTGAAACTAACGACTGTCTTAAGTTGAAGCTTGAGGCAGTTCCTTTTCCACGTCAAATTCTACATTTAAAACTCCGTATGCATCCTCATGTTCCCTCTTATCCTGATCACCATAAATAATACTAAATTTGGGTTGAATTATTTAGCATTTTTCCTATTTCATAAAGATCTTACATTTATCAAGAAGCTAAAGTATTTCCATCTGTTAATTTCCTTCCTGCTTAAGAAAATTTCCTACAAACATTTTATTACCATTTGCAGGAGTCCTTAATACTCAGTCTCCTAATTCTGATTTTTCAGCTGCAATTACTTATCTCTACCTGTCTTTAATCCTCAAATTAGAGTGAAGCAACATAACAAGGTCACCAAACATTCGGAGCTGTGGATTCCTGAAGCTAGTTTGCAATTCAATCTAGCTCTACATTAATTCCAAGGGCGTTTTAAAATTCTTGAAGGAAGATTTTAATTATTAAAAAAAAAAAAAGATAGAGCATTATCTCTCCTAAATGAGGGTTAGCAAATGATCCTGATGAAACCCTTCCCCCACCTTTTAACTGTTAAATTCAAGAGTTAAGACTAGAAATATGAAGATTCTTCCCAAACTATTTTAGGGCTAGAAGCATATGTTAAACTAACCAAATCAAATTATCTTTAGAATCAAAGTCTAAGACATGTTTGCTCTAAAAGGCAAAAAAAAAAAAAAAAAAAAAAAAGGTAGTAGGCCCAAAGGAACGCATGAAAGCTATTGGTGCCTGGTCATTTGAGCTTCAAGATTTTCTAAGCCAGGAGCCTGACTTAGCCACTAGCTGAATGTTGTGTGGGGTCACACCTGCCTCCCCCAGGCTGGCACAAACTACGTGGAGAATTCCTTTGAGGACTTTCTGGTAAGTAACCATATTAAGGCTCCCAACAAACAGCCTTACATCTGATTGATCCTGAGCTATGCTTCTCAAAATAACTTGTTCCCTTGGAGCCTGGGTAATTACGTGCAAGATGTGGCTCTGTGACAGGGCAGACCCAACTGTTGCTCAGTTTTAGGCAGCAGCAGCAGCATTTATTGTACTTTCCTCATTCTCTTCTTAGGGATGAATTCAAGCTAAAAGAAAAGCACACTGATGATTCTCCTCTCAACCCATCCGGCAACTGGGGAAGCAGCTTGTACTACACAGACAGCAAAATAAATATTCTTTAATTTAAGTTCACCATACTGCTACTATTTTCAGGGACCCAAATAAATGGCTGCCTACACACAGAGATGCAAGCATTCATTTAGAATGAAACAGCTCTCTGTAATACACCATATTCTCTGCATTGCTGTCCCAGACCAGAGAACAATTCTAAGTAAGGAACAGCCCACAGTCAGGTACAGCTATAGCTTTCCCCTACATATGGGGAAAACTCTGATTAACATATGCAATAAAAACAGAGAAGCTGGGCATTTCCAATGTTCCTGCCAACTCCACACCGGAGGGAATCAAGCTGGGATTTCCTCCTCCAAGAGTTCTTCCCCAGGGCTCCTGCTGACTGGTATTCAGGAAAATGGGTAATAAAGTCTTTACATCTGGAGCCATTTCAGACCATAGCATATTAGAGTATAAAATACATAAATAGATGCTTCTAGACTATAGCATAAAGTGAGCTAGTAGGCACTCGGCAAAATGTACACACTTGTTTTCTCCAGGTTGTGACTTTTTTAATATTTAAAAACTTCTAATTTTAAAATGTAATATTTCCTAAATATTCTACAATAAACAGGTATTTCTTACGCAATTATTTAAATACATATCTTTAAACAATAATTCAGGAGAGCATAAACATTCATTAGCCTAGATTTCTAAGTTATTTTCTTTGCCCTTCCCTAGTTGTCTGTAATGATGTCGGCTAGCTTTACTTCATTAATCGTCCATATTCCTAATGGAGGGGGAAAAAAACGACTTAACTTGGATCCAATCCAGCAATCCTAGCGTTCTGAAGTTAATTTTGCTCAATGAAGCGCTACTTCAAGACTTTTTTTACAGCTTCACATTCAAATCCCTGTTTTGATATCACATTTTAAAATCCTACTGGAAAGGGTACAGACTGCCCTATCCTAGGACTGCAGAATAGAAATCCTTTAGAGTCCTTAATATCCAGTTACGCAGATACCAGTTACAGCAATAGAACTCACCGTCACACATCAGGCATTTCTGACATGATTTTTCCTGCTTCCCTACCAAGTTCTTAAAGGCCTCCATGGTGACAGCCCTACCTGTGTCTCATTATAGAAATGAGGGAACTTGTTCTATTCAACATGATTTATCACACAGTAAATACATTTGTCACCATTTCACTGCTAGATTTTCAAGTGCCTGAACATAGAAATAAATTCTTATAATTTTCAGAAAAGACATACTGTCAAAAGAGCAAATCTACAGACAGGACTTTGGTAACTGGTCCAGATCTTTAAATAAGGTTTAACTCTTCATTTTGCAGATGTGTAAAATAAGTGTCATTAATGCCTGGCCCATATTAACATCAAATTGTCTAAAGTGTAAGTATAAATGACATTTATAAAACCATATACATAGCATATAATACAAAACCAAAAGTATAACAGTCAACCCCGTTTCAGAGGGCAACCTGGCCCGCAGGAGGACTCAGCCGGGCTGGTGGCCCCACAGCCCTCCAGTCACAGGGCTCACTTTCACGGTGTTCTACAAAGCTTGGTCTTCTAAAAGATTTATGAATTAAAAGATTCAGAATTACTAGACTATATATGAGATATATATACATATATCTCAAAGTATTAAAAATCTCACTTCACCAATGTTTCCATTTTTAAAGTTCCAGAAACAGGCCAGCACTTTCAGAAAAGGCATTACTACCCTATGTACAAATTACTTGGGGGAAAAAAAAAGTCACTTGGGTGTCAATATGAGTTTAACCTTCCATGAGGCTGCCTGTGTATGTCCTCAGAACAGGGAGACCAAAGTTTGTAGTCTAAACTGGGCCACTTCTGAGAGTCAAAGGAGGTGCTATTTATAATTCCTCTGGGACAAAAGCCACAAACTGGGATTGTCCCGGACAAACCTGGAGATAGGGTCACCCCACCTCTGAAATTACTCCAGCCACCTTGGTGTCAGTTCATTTCATAAGGAACAGAGGCCCTGACAGATGAAGTGACTTGCCCAAGGTCACCGGCTACTGTGCTGCTCCTCACACCATCTCTCATCTTTCAGGGTTAAAATGAAAGGCCCCCCAGCACTTTTCTGAGGCTACCCAGAACATTCCCAGATATGTGGGAATTCACATCTTTAACAGGGCAGGGGCCTGCTGTGTCTAAATAAATTCCCCGGAAGCAGTCTTGGCAAGACGGCCCCTAAAAATAACCTTTCCCGAAGAACCTTTTCAATGTCTGTTCTGCTCCTTCCTCTGGCTGTATTCCGGGGGTGGTGGAGGAAATACAGAAGCAGAAGTATCAAATTCAGCATCCTCAGACATTGTTCCCACCTCCTGTCTCAAAGTCAGGCTTATCACTCGAAGCAGTAACAGCAATGGTCAGTGGAGCTAAGGGAGGACTCATCTCAATAAACCTGATAGGGATGAGGGTCAGTTTATAAGATCAGGGTGCAGTACGAGGAGAGGGCTGTGCCTCACACACAGTAAATGTACTACCAGTACTGACTTCATACCTGGGCACTGTGGTAAGCCACCCACATATACAGGCCTCCCCATCTTCCGCTGAGCCTGAAATTCACTGGAATTAGACAACAGGGTTATTGCCTCAGAAAAGTCACCTCTAAAAATATCAGTGACAATTAGCTGGGTGTGGTGGTGCATGCCTGTAATCCCAGCTACTCGGGAGGCTGAGGCAGGAGAATGGCTTGAACCCGGGAGGCAGAAGTTGCAGTGAGCCGAGATGGTGCCACTGCACTCCAGTCTGGGCTATAGAGAGAGACTCCGTCTCAAAAATAAGATAAATAAAATAAAATAATAAAATAAAAATATCAGTGATCCCTAGAAAGGCAGGTCTTGGGAATCTTTCATTTTTAGGCATAGAAAATGATGACAGTAAGTGCATGAAAAATCATAAGGAGAATGTGGGGTCTGGGGGTGGTGTACAGGTGAAGCAGACCTAGGTGGCCAGAGGCAGCTGTGGGAAGTAGGGGGCCTTGGGAAAGAGGATTTTGAAACAGGGTAAAGCAACAAGCAGTACTCATTAGCCTACTTCACAGTTTTACTTCATGCCAGTTTCTTTCATAGCAAAGTTTTTATTAACCATTCAAACTTATTTTCCTTTTAGTCATCACCTATTCATGAAGCTTGGTTTTTCCTTGGCCTACTGGATACGGAGAGATTCATTATATTCTCTCTGCTTTGGGGTATGATTAAAATTTCCCATAATAAAACTTTAAATAAACAGGATTTTTTTAAATTGCAAAGTGAGTTCTCAGTACTGCCATTTCAAAAGATGCTAGGCTCAGTCCCTGTGGAGCTCTGATCTGAGAGGGCATTCCTGTAGATAAAGACACGGCACCCGTAGGAGGATAACTCTAATCTATGCTCCTGCCTCTGAAAGTCTCATTTTCTAGTTCCAAAAGGGAGTTGACTCAGTGTCTCAGGCATCCGGGCTTCTTTTGGAAGTGCGTCAGACATATCAGCATTCACTCCGATAATGTGCCCTTCATGGGACGGCCCCTAAAACTCTCAAGAAGTTTAGCTGACTTCTCCTGTGGCCCCTTCCCTCCCACTTTGGTATTTCTGTTGGACAATGCAACTCCTAAAGCTTGACTGGGGGAAAATCTTGGAATGACAATATGGACCATGCCTCAAAATTCCGTTTTCTCACTGTTATCAGACATTCCCAGTTGCACCAGTTTAGAAATTAAAAAATTCACACACACACATATGCCCTTCCACAAAGGTAGGAGGTTTGTAAGTGGAAAATCAGAAATACTGAATCCCAGGCTTCTGCTCTGGGTTGGTTACAAATCCGAGCAGAAAGCAACAAAAACAGATAAAGTTTAGTGATAAAAATCAAGACCCTTACAGTTAAGCAGCCTGGATCTGAAATCCAGCTCTACCACTTTCAGACCAAAAATATGCAATAAAATAATTAGTATCTCCATATTTATAAAATTTCAATTATAGGAGAGAACTATTTCTACATACATTAGACAAAATTCTGTGTGCATTTTCCGGCTACCACTTCCCCACCCTCAACCACTGCTGGGCAACTCACTTAACTTGAGCCTAGCTAAAATAATGAAGATAATATTCACCTTTCAAGATGGTTGTGAAGATCCAGTAAAATCATACATAAGGTTAAAACAGTGCCTGGAATTTCTCAATAATAGTTGTTTCTCTGTCTTCTTCAGCAAATCATTTGGGATACTAGGAATAATATGTGAAAATCTCTCATTTTTCAATTCACTGGTAAAAATCCACATATTATCACTTTTACTGTCTGATCGGAATATTTTTTGGCTTTAGTGTTAGACTGAAAAAAATTACAACATCCTCTGCTCCAAATTCTAACATGAAAGGCCAAATATGCAATAAAATAATCAGCCACCTTATATTTCATAAAATTACAATAACAGAATGGAAATATTACAGTCTATAAAACACAAAACGCATGGTTTGTATTTTTCTAATCTGACCACCTGAATACCTGCCTCCCCTCAAAAATGTGTTTGTTTCAAAACAGAAAAATATTGCCCTCTACACATAATCTCTAAGTGGATTACGGTTTTCTATATGGCTTTTACGATTTTCATGACTGTTCTTTCTGACACCCAAAACATCTACAATATGTTTTAAAACCTTAAAACAAAACATCTAAATGAGAACAATAATTCATTTCCTTAATTCTATAAATGATACAACTGAAAAAGGAAGTCCTATCTTGGAGTTTAATTCTACATCATGTTTTTTTTTTTTAAGGCATCTTACAAATGTTCAATAAAGCCTTCTTTAGCAAAGCCTATCAATGACCATTCTGAGTGCAGAAGAATTTTATGTCACAGACTTGAGCACACCACCGTAAGTAAATTCATAGTTTTTTGCTTCCTTTGAAAATATAACTTGTCTGGGTCGGGTGCGGTGGCTCACGCCTGTAATCCCAGCACTTTGGGAGGCCACGGCAGGTGGATCACCTGAGGTCAGGAGCTCAAGACCAGCCTGATGAACATGGTGAAACCTTGTCTCTGCTAAAAAAAAAAAAAAAAAAATACGAAAATTAGCCAGGCATGATGGCAGGTGCCTGTAATCCCAGCTGTTCAGGAGGCTGAGGCAGGAGGCTTGAACCTGGGAGGCGAAAGTTGCATTGAGCCAAGATCGTGCCATTGCACTCTAGCCTGGGTGACAGAGTAAAAGACTCTGTCTCCAAAAAAAAAAAAAAAAAAGAACTTGTTTCGTGAGCTAAAAGATATTGCATTCCACAGCACCAAAGCTTTGGTTTCTGTTCCAGTAACTAAACCAACTTCAATGCCAGATTCAAGCCAACTGGCAAAGTTCCAATAGAATACCAAGGTGAGATTTCTCCAGAAAGAAAATCAAAGACATCTTGACAGTTCAGATGGTTCCAAGTTGTCTAATACATGATGTTTTCATCCAGAAAAGCAAGACTTCCATGTTCAGTTCCCAACATTGCTTCCTCTAGGAGTCCTCTAGTCTTAGCTCACTTTAGTGCCTTCTGGGTAGATCCTCTTCCACCTATCCCCTCAGAGTTGCAGCCATTGCATATGTAGATAACTTCCGTACCTAAATCTCCAGCCTTGACTTTTCTCTTTTATCCATTGGATATCAAGCCCTCAATCCAAATTCCCCATATTTTTTTTGAGACAGGGTCTTGCTCTGTTGCCCAGGCTGGAATACAATGATGTAATCATGGCTCACTGCAGCCTCAACCTCCCCAGCTCAAGCCATCCTCCTGCCTCAGCCTCCTGAGTAGCTGGGCATACAGGCACACACCAACACACCTGGCTGACTTATGTATTTTTGTAGAGATAGGGTTTCACCAGGTTGCTGTACCTGGCTTCAAATCCCACATTTTTAACTTCTACAAAACTCAAGAGCCCCTTTACTTTTACAAATGAATACCAAAGACATTAGAGATAAGGCTAGAAATGATTAGAATTCAGTTTTACAGCCTGGCTATTTTGTGGTATTGGTCAAGGGCATCAAATATAGTGGGACAACAATGGCCGGGCACGGTGGCTCATGCCTGTAATCCCAGCACTTTGGGAGGCCAAGGTGGACGGATCACGAGGTCGAGATCGAGACCATCCTGGCTAACATGGTGAAACCCCATCTCTACTAGAAATACAAAAATTAGCTGGGCGTGGTGGCGCACGCCTGTAGTCTCAGCTACTCAGGAGGCTGAGGTAGGAGAATCGCTTGAACCCGGGAGGCGGAGGTTGCAGTGAGCCGAGATTGCGCCACTGCACTCCAGCCTGGCGACAGAGCAAGACTCCATCTCAAAAAAAAAAAAAAAAAATAGTGGGACAACAGCAGTAAAGTTGTTTGGGTTGAAATAAAGAGACTGTAATTTTTGGAGGTCAAAATGGTCAGCATCAAGTATTTCATATCGTTCTATCTTACATATAAATTATCTTAAAATCCTCATAAACAGCAATGAGATTACCTACCTTCTAAAAGTTAATTGTCATCTTCACATCTTGTTTGACTATAACAAAATAACTTAAAGACTCCACATGACTTTAGAAGATAGGATTTCTTGATTTGTCTTTGCAATCTCAATTATAACTACCTTTGCAAAACTCAATCATAGCTTCATATTAAATACTGCTCCCATTCCCCCAAAACAATCTTTTTTTTTTTTTTTTGAGACAGAGTCTTCTTCTGTCACCGAAGCTGGAGTGCAGTGACACGATCTCACTGCGCTCCAGCTGTGAGTGCAGCTCACTCACTCCAATTCCAATGAGTCTCCTGCCTCAGCCTCCCGAGTAGCTGGGATTACAGGCGCATACCACCACACCTGGCTAATTTTTGGATTTTTAATAGAGATGGGGTTTCACCATGTTGGCCAGGCTGGTCTCGAACTCCTGACCTGATGTGATCTGCCTGCCTCGGCCTCCCAAAGTGCTGGGATTACAGGCTTAAGCCTCTGCGCCTGGCCCCAAAACAATCTCATATTCACCTATTTGTACATTTGGTTCTCACATTCACTAATAAAATATAGGTCTTTTCTAAGATAGCATGGCTTTTTATGAAAAGGTTGTAATGGATACTAATAAGAATCTGTTTTCAGTGTATAATAATTTCTAAAGACTATGACCAACACATTTACCCCCTAGCAAAAACAAATAAGACAAATCAAAGTTATGCCAACTTCTTGGTCTAGGGCTTGGCATGTATGAAGACTGCATATGCCAGTTCTTTCCCAGGACCACAGAATCACCTGCAATCTTGTCTCCATTTTCCAATTCCAGCACTGTGAAGCACACTGCATCTTCAAAAAAATTTCCCCATGTTTTCTATACAAAAACAAATTTAAATTTATACGTCTCTGAATCATAAATGAACTTGGAATTTTCTTTATTAAGTGGGTGAAGGTTTTCAATCTGGGCAGGGGGGGGGAACTCATTTCAAATCAAATTCAGGTTACCAGAACTTTTTCTCATAAATATGGTGACAAATTTTATTATGATATACATAAATCTGTATAATTATTTTTTCAATTCTAAAAGCTCTAAATTCCAATTATTGATGTTCTTTTTTTTTTTTTTCAGACACAGCACATCTCTTAACTTTTTTTTTTTTTTTTTGAGACAGTCTCACTCTGTCTCCCATGCTGGGGTGCAGTGGCATGATCTTGGCTCACAGCAGCCGCCGCCTCCCAGGTTCAAGTGATTTTCATGCCTCAGCCTCCCAAGTGGCTGGGATTATGGGCAGACATCACCATACCCAGCTAATTTTTTTTTTTTTTTTGTATTTTTAGTAGAGACTGGGTTTCGCCGTGTTGGCCAGGCTGGTCTCAAACTCCTGGCCTCATCTGATTCACCTGCCTCAGCCTCCCAAAGGGCTGGGATTACAGGCATGAGACACTGTGCCCGGCCTGAACATTTTTTAACGAAAAGCTTATTTCTCACTCTGTCACCCAGAGCGGGAGTGCAGTGGTGCCATCATAGCTCACTGCAGCCTCAAACTTCTGAGCTCAAGCAATCCTCTCACTTCAGCCTCCCAAGTAGCTAAAACTACAAGCACACGCCACCATACCGGCTAATTTTTAAATTTTTTTTGTAGAGACAAGGTCTCTCTATGTTGCCCAGGACACTCTCTAACTCCTAGCCTCAAGAGACAGCCTTGCCTCAGCCTCCCAAAGTGCTGGGAATATGGGCATGAGCCACCACACCCGGCCTCGACAGCTCAGACTTACAATAAAAATCAAGTCAGGGAACTCTTTTCGGGGACCTGAGAAAATACTTCAAGAGAACATTTTTAAAAAGCATTAAATGAGTATGAGTTGGGAGTTAACACATTCAGAGCTCAAAAAGTCATAAAGACTGCCAAAAAAGATGTTAATTGTTAAAATGAAAGTTTTTTTAATTTAAAAAGTAATTGTACTAAACGTTTCTTAGAAATGATTCATAATTTCTTCATTCAATAAATGTCAGTGCGGGCCAGGCGTGGTGGCTCACACCTGTAATCCCAGCACTTTGTGAGGTCGAGGCGGGTGGATCACTTGAAGTCTGGAGTTCAAGACCAGCCTGATCAACATGGAGAAACCCCGTCTCTACTAAAAATAAAAAAATTAGCCGGGCGTGGTGGCAAATGCCTGTAATCCCAGCTACTCAGGAGGCTGAGGCAAGAGAATCACCTGAACCTGGGAGGCGGAGGTTGTGGTTAGCCGCCGAGATTGTGCCATTGCACTCCAGCCCGGGCAACGACAGTGAAACTCCGTCTCAAAAAAAAAAAAAAAAGAAAAGAAAAAAAAAAATGTCAGTGCAGACTCTGTGTGAGTCCAATGAGGCACAGGGACCTACAGAGAAGAGCTACTGCTCATAGCCCTTGTTGGGGAGACAGAGCATCAGGTGACCCCTGCTCTAGAAGGCAGACCTCTCAGTAAAGCAGCTGCAGAAGGAGGTACTACTAAGATAGGTGGAGGAGGGAGGGTCTATGGAAGAGACAAGGGCTCGAGTCAGACACAGTGACAGGCAATCAGGGACATGAGATCTTTAAAAACCTGCAGCAGGGATACTGGGGTGGTGAATGAACAGACGATGGGGCTAGTTCAGGCCTGGCCTCACAAACCACCATAAGAGGCTTGAACTCTCTCCTGAAGGCAACCAAGAACCACAGAGACACTTGAATCAGGAAAATATCACAACCAGGCTTGTGTCTTATTAAGATCATTTTTGGCAGCATCTTGGAGAAAAGCCAGCAGACGAGCATGACCCTTGGAAGGGTGACAAAAAGGGAGGCCACCACCCTCATCTCCGCAGGGAAGGTGGAAAGCCTGAAGGCCTTGGAGCACACAGGGAGGGGAAGAGGCAGGGTCCAGAGGACTCCACGGGAGGTGGTGACCCAACGGCCGTGGTGTGGGAGAGGAGGAGGGGGCAAGGGTAACACTCGGGTTTCTGGCTTGGGCGCCTGGAAGAAAGACATTTCCATTCACCATGAAGGGGAACCAAGCAGGAGGGTTTGAAACACCTTTGGCTTTGAAAACACCTTCCTTACACCAGCCTGGCTGAAGCAGATGCCCCTCCTCTGTGCTTCTCACAGACCACTCCTGTCTCTTGAACTTGGCTGTAAGCTCCTTAAGGGCCATGGTGGTGTCATCAACTCTCTCTGCTGGTCCCTAGGACTACAAAAATGTTTGCCAAATGAATGAAAGAATGAACCATCATGCTTGTGTTCCATTTATATTTTGCTCCTCACCAGGGTTGCAGGTAAAAACACCTTGTAGTTTCCAATCTAGAAAACTCTGTGTGTGTGTGTGTGTGTGTGTGTGTGTGTGTGTGTGCATGTGTGCAGATGTTTGTACCAAAAATTTTCCTCAGTCTTCTTCAGAAAGGCCAAATTCTTGCACTTAAGGTTTTCCTTCCTTTGAAATTTGTCTAGCATAGTAGTTTGCAAGCGTCTCCCCCAATCTCTGCTTTCTGTTCTTTCTGGAAGACTTAGTGCCGTTCCCAGGGAAACGGCGGTAGGATTCTGACTGTCCTCCAACGCATTCCGTGTGAACTCCTCTGCTCATCATGGTAGCACCCTCACCCACTCCAGAACTGCGCCTTTTCTGTAGGTGTCTCCCAGCTGCAGCAACCGACTGCGGTGCTTTCTGACAGTTTTCTGAGGCTGCGTTAATTAAGTTTCCCTGCTAAGAGTTATATTCCTCCTCCCACACTCTGGAAAATCTTATAATGGGCTTAAGTTTCTTACCTGGTGAATGTGGCTGAAGGCCTAGGGCAACCCCGGGACACATCACGGTGTCCCAAATAGGATGTAAAAGCAAAGAGTGTTTTTTGTGCCTCAGAACTCCTGCACCTGTGATTCTCCGTAGCAAACCACATGTATATTTATTACAGTCCCTCTGGGTGCAGAGGTTTCTTAGTGCCCACACAAGACCCTGCCTTTAACCTCTTCTTTGACACTTCTGCCCATTAAGAACTTTCTCTGGCTCTCAAAGACTATCTACAATTCCACCTCTCCCTCCCAGCAATGGCCACATGGACACCGGATTTGCCACCTCAGCACGGTGGCTCCTTTCCCTGCACAGAATAATGACACATCCTGTAAATACTTAACTTCTTATCCAGACACAATCTCCCAGTGGATAAACAGACTCTCCTCATTAGTTTGGTTGTTGCTTGTCAATACCACTGTCTTGACATTAAAGCCCAGGAGCTCTAATGGGGAGGATCATATCTACTTAATTGGATTTATACCACAGCCTACTGTGGAACAACATGTGGTTATTTAATACTTCGTATAATCCCTCCTGATCACTCTCAAATTGATGCCTTCCTCACCACTGCTTCTAACAGCCCCCTTGTTCTAATCCTCACCACTTTATCTGGATGGTCCCATAACAGGCTTTTGCCTGGGTCCCCCAGCCTCAGGCCCTTGTCCACTCAGATTTATCTCACCAACAATACTAGTTCTGTAAGCATGGGTCTTCCCAGCTCAAAAAACCTCTGGAGCTCTGCATGTCTTGGAGAATGAAGTCTGCACTCACCTTAGCATCCCAGGCCCTCTATAACCTGGCCCTTTTTCGTGGATCCAACTTTCTAAGTTTGAATATGCATCTTTAGCATCGGGTATTATCTCCCTATCACACGTGCACAAACACACCATGAGCCACAGACATATCCGATACAGAGCTAGGCTTTGGGAGACCTGAGTCCTGGTCTAGCCACCTTGGTTACTTTCTCCTTCTATACTCTTACCTTTGAACTTCTCCCATCTCTTGATGAAAGGGTGAGTGAAGGGATGTAAAAGGGCTTTGATAGTGTCAAAGGTAAACACTTATTATACTACACTTATTATTTTTTTATTTTTTGAGATGGGGTCTTGCTCTGTTGCCCAGGCTGGAGTGCAGCGGCACGATCACAGCTCACGGCAACCTCAAACTCCTGGGCTCAAATGATCCTCTGGCCTCACCCTCCCAAGTAGGTAGGATTACAGCTGTGCACCACCACACCTGGCTAAATTTTTTATTTTTTTTGCAAAGACGGGGTCTTGCTGTGTTGCCCAGGCCAGTCTCAAACTCCTGGGCTCAAGCAATCTTCCTACCTTGGCCTCTCAAAGTGCTGGGATTACAGGCATGAGCCACTGCACCCGGCTAACTTTTATTCTTGCACTTATTATTAAACAATTTCTTGTTAAATATGCACTTATTATTAAACAATTTCTTATGTTCCAAGTGTTCCAGTATATAAATCCTATCTTTAAAAGTACGCCAGGCTGGGTGCAGTGGCTCACGCCTGTAATCCCAGCACTTTGGGAGGCCGAGGTGGGCAGATCACAAGGTCAGGAGATGGGAGACCATCCTGGCTAACACAGTGAAATCCCGTCTCTACTAAAAATACAAAAATTAGCCAGCTGTAATCCTAGCTACCCAGCACCTGTAATTCCAGCTACTGTAAGGCTGAGGCAGGAGAATTGCTTGAACCCGGGAGACGGAGACTGCAGTGAGCTGAGATCACACCACTGCACTCCAGCCTGGGCGACAGAGCAAGACTCCGTCTCAAAAAAAAAAAAAAAAAAAAGTACACCCGAGGAGGGGGGAATGGGAAGCTAGTTTTTAATGGGTACAGAGTTTCAATGTGAGATGATAGAAAAGTTCTGGAGACACAGAGTGGTGATGGTTGTACAACAATGTGAATAGACGTACCACCACTGAATTGTACACTTATGATTAAAATGATACATTTTCTGTTATGTGTATTTCCCCACAATTTTCAAAGTACATCAAGGTCACCAAGGGCCAAATCTCATGCTCACAAGTCCCTCACAAGTCTAAGCGCAGTGCTGATTAACAAATATTCGGCGCACAAGGATAATAATATTTGAACATTTACAGATCACTTTACAATGTATAAAGCCGCTTCACCATAAAACAGTTTAACCATTTGATCCAGACAAAAAACCCTGTGAGTTAAGAAAGACAGGTATTTATCTTCATTTTCTAGGTGAAGAAATTGAGACTTGAAACATTTAGTGATTCAACTGTAGTCGGGTACCAGGCAGAGCTTCGACTCATCTGGGTCTCATGAATCTGAGAAATGTCACAAGCTTTCTGTTAATCATTGGAACAAACAATTAGTGCCTTTTCTCCTAGGAAAAATTTATGCAAGAGTATGTGTCATTAGGCAGGAAGAGCCTTCACCTTGTGCTCTAAATCAGCAGCTGCTGCCCACAGAACAAGGGCAGGGGCAACTCGAAGGCTCCCAGGCTCTCTATTTAATCCGAACCCTGTGGGCGGCTGCCTCTGTACACGCATCCTGCCAGGCTGCCTGACCCAACATGGCAACACATTTGCCTAAATGCCAGACTGACAGGAGGTGCTCCAAGGTGAATCCAGCCATCTCAACTGTGAAGAGTACAGAAGAATCTGAATTTCTTTAGGGACTATTAAAAACAATCAGAACACTTAGAAAAGTTTATCTATCATCAAGCCACGGACTGATTATGGACATAAGGACCCTTTACGTATCGACACATATTTCGTGTCCTTAAAAGGTCTGCTCTAGCCTCCCAGTACAGTTAAGGACAGCGTCCTGAGCTTGTGAAGATAGCAAACATATTCAGCATTGCTGCTCTGACAAGTCACCTCCCAATTAGGCTTCAGTTGAGGTACAAGCTCTATGTGTTCCTTGGTTCCAGGAGATGTTTACTTCTAGACACCAACACTCTAAAAGTTTCAACAGTCCACTGAAGAGGTCCCAATTTACTTAGAAATTGATATCCCTAAACTGTGTTCTATATGGTAGAACATTCTAACTCCAAGAGTGTGTCTCAGCATTTCAGTGTCTTAAAATATTGTATCTGGGGCTGAGCATCGTGGCTCATATCCTTAGTATCAGCACTTTAAGAAGCCAAGGTGGGAGAATGGCCAGGAGTTCAAGACCAGCCTGGGCAACACAGTGAGACCCTGTCTCTACAAAAAAAGTTTTTAAAATAAAAAAATTAGCCATGTGTGGTGGTGCATGCCTTGACGTCATGGAGGTCACTTGAGCCCAGGAGGTCAAGGCTACAGTGAGCTATTATCATGCCACTGTACTCCAGCCTGGGCAACAGAGAAAAATCCTGTCTCTAAACATTACATATTTTATATATATATATAAAATATACATATGTGTGTGTATATATATATATATATATATATATATATATATATATATCACATCTGTAATACTGCAGGCATTTTTCTTCTACCCTTGAGTTGTATGAATTAAAATACTTCTTTATAGAAAATATAAATATTCCTAACCCTATTAACACACTCTTCTGTGTAACACACTCTTCCTAACACACTCTTGAAAGAGAAGGTAGACACGTTGAAACGCCTATTCGCACTCATGCTAAACCCACTATCTTCTGCATTCCCTTCTCTTATAAAACTCATTACACTTTTATAAAGTCCTTCTACAGCAAGGCTTTCCTTCCACACCACAGAGCAAGGATTACCATAGCCCATGAGACTCTCTGAACTGTAGATATAATTAGGCATCACATCCATTATAACGCCACGGACGTCATCATGTGCTACCAGCATCTGTTGACAGATCTCATACCCAGCATATCACTGAAATGGCAAGTGTGGAGAAGGCAGCCCACAATAGAAACAATGGTATTTTACCCTTGTCCGGTTCCAGCAGTTTGTCTCATGGGACATAAATAGAGGCCACTGCTCTGGCCACACTGAGCTCACAGTTCAATATTATTTTACTGACTTGAGCAGGGTCTATACCAAAAGTAGAAATAGAGAATCTTCTAGATCTCTCCTAATGTAGTTTTTGCCCCCCAAGCATGTACAACATTCAAACTATCTTAAAAAAAATTCTCACCTTAAACTTTCTAACATTATTTTGGACTGGGATCAGGAAGTATGTTATTTTTAAATAATCAACTTTACTTCAAGTGCTATGCAATTATAATAATACAGTCAACATAGGAATCCCAAACCTAAAAGAATTCGAAGCCATATATCCAAAAATACTGCAAATAAGTTAAAAGATTAAATATGGCAGAAGGGATGTCAATGTGGCCTCTGGAAACTGTCATTACCTCTATCCTGCTACTGTACTGTACTTAAAAAAAAAAAAGGCAACAGAAAGCACTGTGATTAGACCATCACTTTCAAAAATGATGGGCAGACTACCTGTCCAATTCCTTAGCTATTTTACAATTCCTCATAAGAAAGCAATTTTTAAAACAAAGACCCGGGAGTTATCTTTTTTTTTAATCCATGAAAAGTGCAGTAATCAAAATTTGGGGAAATTCTTTTAAAAAAAAACACTCACTGCTAAAAATTAAAGTCACTTTTTAACTTCGTGCTGATGGATGATGCATCAGCTGGTCCAGATGACACATTAGTAATCCTCATGCCTCGTACTTCCTTCACAATCAGTCCTTTAAACAATAGTAGACGGCTTGAAGTTTTGTTTTTTTCTATTTATTACTCCCATTTTCTAAGAAAGGTAGGGATGGTAAAAGCCTTAAGAAACTCGGGGAGAGACTGAAATGTAGCTAAATTAGAGCTTTAAAATAATAATAGTAAATGGTATTTTAGGAGAGAGGGTAGACAAGAGACATCCTGATATAAAAATAGTGCTTGGTTATTTGATAATCATCTCTCCTTCCAGCTAACGCTGTTTGCTGCGAGAGGAGTTTGGGATGTGTGTTCTCCACCATCATACCCCTATTCACCAAATACTATCGCACAATCAGCTACAGTACCCATTATACAGAGATTCCCATACACACTATGGTCACCACAGGCTATCCACCTAAAGCAGGTCCTTAGAAGGGAAATCTATCTTGCCCCACGCCCAGAAAAATAGGCGGAAAAAAGTTCAGAGCGTTTGGCTTTTGCCATAACCCCGTTATCTTAAGGTTGGGTTGGCAGGTCTCTGTTGTCATGTCTGACCCAACCAGGCTCCCTGCCTAGTCAAGTAAGAGGCGGGATTAAGCCTCCTGGTGAGCATTCCCTATTTATTCCAGCCAAGAGGATCAAGAGGAAACCTTGAAAAAGTGGAATGTTCCACTGGGCCCCCAGAGAACGCCAATCAAAATGGGGAGGGAGCTTTTAGAAGCTGGCTGACTCCTTCGTCCCTGTGTGCTTACCTCAATGAATTATAAATAGAGTGTGAAATAATTGTCACTATCGGTAAATGTCTAGTGTTCATACAACATCCCTCTCCAAGGAACCCAAAAGATTGAATAAATGACTTTCCATGACTCTAGGGGCAGCCCGGTGGAAATTGCAATGAAGCTGATGTTCTTTTGCTTCTTTCAATGGGGAAGAGAGAGGCTGGGGTAAATGGACACAAGCGGGCCAGGAGAGTATAACTCGGGGGCCAAGGTCACAGACTCAAGGGGTCAGGAGCAGACCAGAGACCCCTTCAGATCTGGTCTAACGCGGGTTGGTGTGAGGAACAGAACCACATCTGTACCTCCGATGCTGCTAGCGCGCGCGCACACACACGACGCCCAGTGTCCTGCCTGTCCCCGGACGTGTCCTCTTTCCTAAGGGGCCCCCGGGGCTGCGAGGGCACAGGACAGCACAGCACCTCCACAAAGCGCCCTCTCGCCAGTCGCCAGGCCACGCGGCCACGCGCACGGGAGCCCCGCGGGGGACCCGGCCCCACCACGCGCGGGCGGCCCGCGGGCCCCTGCTGACCTTCCTCTGCTGCTTCTCCCAGGCTGGGTCCAGGAGCAGGTCGCGGTCCCACTCCTCCTCCTGGATCATGTACTCATCCTCGTCGTACACGTAGTTGTACTGCACGCCGGGCTCTATCTGGTTCATGGCGCTCGGTTGGCCGGGGCTGCGGCGGGGCGCGAGGGGCTCGGACGCACGGGCTGACTGGCAAACGGACCCACGGAGGCGGCGGGCGGCGGGCGGCGGGCGCGGGGTGACCTTCGCGCGGCTCCTCTCGGGGCGACACGCCTGGGCGCTGGGTCTCGGGCGAAGCACCAGCTCCGGCTGCGAGCAGCTGCCGCGCGGCTTAATAGCCGCGCCGCCCGTCACGTGGCCGCCCGGCCACGCCCCCGCCGCCACCGCCCCCGGCCCCGCCCGTCGGGCCCCAGCCGCCCCGCCCCGAGCACGTGCGGGCGGACAAGGGCGCCGGGCCCCTCCACTGTCTCCCCTGCAGCCGCCGCCCAGAGGCCGCCTGCACGCCTTCCGCCGAGGCCTCCGGGAACGTGAGGGGAGCGGCCGGCCCCGAGCAGAGCCACGCCTGCCACCCACGCTCTGAGAGCGGCTGGTTAGCGGCGCGGGGTCCGTCGGTGTCCCGGGTGGGTGATCGCGAGCCAGGGGAGGGACACCTAAGAGGCTGGGTCCCTGACCACCCCAACACAGCCAAGTTTTCCAAATATCATTTGGATATTCGCGTTTTCCATATATTCCCACATATTCATTGGAGACCCCTCTTCTCTCTCTCTCATCTCTCTCTCGTGCCTCTCTTTCCGCTCATCGGTCCCTCTCTCTTGTGTCTGTCTCTCGTCTGTCTCTCTCTCATCTCTGTCCCTCTTTCTCCAGTGTCTCTCTCTCATAGATCTCTCTCATATCTCTCTCTCATCTCTGTCTCTCCTGTGTCTCTCTCACATGTCTCTCTCTCCTCTCATCTCTCTCTCTCTCTCGTGTCTCACTGTCTCTCATCTGTCTCTCGTGTCTCTCTCCTCTCCTCTTCTCTCCTCTGTCTCTCTCTCCCGTGTCTCTCTCTCTCTCGTCTCTCTCTCTCTGTCGTGTCTCTCTTTCTCTCTCTCATCTGTCTCTCTCTCCTGTGTCTCTCATACCTCTCTCATCTCTGTCTCTCTCTTCTCTCTCTCTGTTTCTCTTCCTCCCTCTCACACACACACACACATACATACATACAGGCCCCTAAGGAGTAAAGTTTAAAAGCTACAGAACCCCCCTCTTCTTTCTCTCCTCCTCACCCTCACCTGGGGAAATCAAGGCACAGGATTTGGATCCATCCTATTAAAATGTTAGGAACCAAACCAAAGGCAGGAAGTGTCAGCTCTCACCTACCGGGCATAAATTTAAGAGAGCTGACAATGAAGGGCAAGCGGCCAGCTTCGTGTTATATTTCCATGTCGCCCTGTGGGTTGCACTTAACGCCTTTTCATCCCCCTAGTGCTGGCTAGCTGTTCCCTATCAGTTATGCTGCCGCAGGAAGCAAAATGAGGACCCTTGGGACAAGTAGGCTGAAATTTTTAAATCAAATATGTATTAAGCAACTACTGTAAACCAGAGGTTGCCTTAGGCACCAGACGAGCTGATGGGATGCCTGCCTGCAATTCAGTTTATATCTCAATTGAATAAACGTTGCCCACAGATGCTACAGAATTTTTTGTGATTCAGGGCTACTAATTTGTGGACATGTTTCAAGTTGAGTTTGTCTGGATTTATCATTGTTCCTTAGAATTTTTACATCACTCACCGTTACTGTTTGGGGCTTTATGCAGAAAGATAACAATTAGCAAACAGGTTGCATTAACTTTGTTTTGTTTTGTTTTGTTTTGAGATGGAGCTTCACTCTTGTTGCCCAGGCTGGAGTGCAAGAGCACGATCTCGGCTCACCGCAACGTCCACCTCTCCGGTTCAAGCGATTCTCCTGCCTCAGCCTCCGGAGTAGCTGGGATTACAGGCATGTGCCACCACACCCGGCTAATTTTGTATTTTTAGTAGAGACGGGGTTTTTCCATGTTGGTTAGGCTGGTCTCGAACTCCCAACCTCAGGTGATCCACCTGCCTCAGCCTTCAAAAGTGGGGATTACAGGTGTGAGCCACCACGCCCCGCCACATTAACATTTTCAAAAACATTCTCACTAGGATGTAAATTCCTCAAACGCAGGGATTTTGTCTCGTCCACAGTTGTAGACCCCAGCAACTACAGGCGTGTCCACCGCACAGTGGTGCTCATTTGTTGAGAGAAGTAGTATCCCTGGAAATAGTGACTGAGCTAATTTACTTGGATTTAAATTTAAAATTTAGAGTTTATATTTTGGATTAAAATCATACTCTTGAAACAAGTGGATCAATAAATTTTACCTATTAGAAACTGGGCCGGGCACAGTGGCTCAGGCCTGTAATCCCAACACTTTGGGAGGCCGAGGTGGGTAGATCACCTGAGGTTGGGAGTTCAAGACCAGCCTGGCCAACATGATGAAACCCCATCTCTACTAAAAAAAATAAAAATAAAAAAATTAGCTGGCTGTGGTGGCATGCACCTGTAATCCCAGCTACTCAGGAGGCTGAGGCAGGAGAATCGCTTGAACTCAGGAGGTGGAGGTTGCAGTGAGCAGAAATTGCGCCACTGTACTCCAGCCTGGGCGACAAGAGCAAAATTCCATCTCAAAAAAAAATAAAAAAAGAAAGAAAGAAAAGAAAAGAAATTGGATGTACAATTACAAAAAGTGCTACATCGTTCAACTTAGTTTTCAAAAATTAACGTGGGGACTTCATGAGATGGAAAAAACAGCGCCAGATTTACCATCCTGCCTGAAACAACTAAAGCCTGGGGAAAAAAACACATAAAACAATGGTTTTCAAGACATTAGTCATCAGGCAAAGAGGGACAATGAACCCTCAGAGGCAGAAAATAAATGATGTGAGTACTGCAATTGCCCCAGCTTACAGTCTGGAGAAAACTTTCAAGATGCAATGCAACAAAGAGGTACCCAGGCACAGCTTACTGGTCTCCATAAACTGAGAGTTCAGAGAGACCAAACATTAGAATTTGCAAGGCCAATTACAGCAGAAAATGGAGCTGCAAAGAGAGAGAATCCTGGAGATTTGCTGTTCCCTGGAATCTGATCAGTGAATACATGAGAGGAAACTGCCTGAGGCCAAGGAAAGAAGGTCCCGAAAGGAATAGAAGGAATGATTCTTAAATTCATAACGGGCCAGGAATAGTTCCTGTTTCCATCAGCCAGGGTGGAAAACCTTATAATCCACAAAGCATCAGAGTACTCCAACCTGGAGGGAAATTAGCTCCTGATGAAATATTGTACTTGTCCTGCCTGCAAAACCTGAAAAGCATGACCTGAAAATCGTAATTTCCAAGTAACTTAACCATGTCCCAGATCAAAGCTCAAACATATCTATAGGAATATGAAAACATTCAACACTCAAATTTTACCCAAAGGTAAAATTTGCAATTTCTGCCACCTGTGAAATATTACCAAATTTTTCACAGGTGTGCAAAGAAGCAGGCACATATGATCCATAATGAGAACAATCCATCAATCAAAACTGACCTAGAATTGACACAGATGATAGAATTAGTAGAAAGGAACATTAAAAGAGTGATTATTGCTATATTCCATATATTTAAGAAGCTAGAGGAAAGATTGAACCTGACAAGTAGAGACAGAGGAGATATGAAAAATTTAATATCTAGAGATGAAAACTACATCTGAAATTTTAAAATACACTAAACGCGTTTGCCTATAGATACTGCATTAGAAAAGATGAGTGAACTTGAAGGCATAGCAGTAGAAAAAAATCCAGTATGAAACACACAGAGAGAAAACAGGTTTAAGAAATGAGCACGGCCAGGCGCAGTGGCTCACGCCTGTAATCCCAGCACTTTGAGAGGCCAAGGTGGGCGGATCACCTGAAGGCAGGAGTTCAAGACCAGCCTGGCCAACAGGGTGAAACCCCGTCTCTACTAAAAATACAAAAATAGCCGGGCACGGTGGTGGGCACCTGTAATCCCAGCTACTCGGGAGGCTGAGGCAGGAGAATCGCTTGAACCGGGAGGTGGAGGTTGCAGTGAGCCGAGATCGCACCACTGCACTGCAATCTGGGCAACAAAGTGAGACTCCGTCTCAAAAAAAATAAAATAAAATAAGAAATGACCAGAGGATCTGTGAGCTGTGAGAAGCCTTCATGCAGCTTAGTATCCAAGTAACTGGAGTCTCTGAAGTGGGAGAACAGGAAAAAAAAAAAAAGTACTTTAAGAAGTAACAGACAAAGTCAAGAAGTTAGTAAGGGGACTTCCACTTGTGGCGAAGGTGGAGTATGGGGAACTGGGATAATTCTTCCTGAAACAACCACTGCCTTCCACCCGCAGGACTGGAAAAAACTGATCATTCACAGAGCACTGAGTAGAATACTTAGGAAGGTCTTGCCTCAGCAGTGCCGAATGATTAGTCCTAAATAGAGCACTGCTCTAAGCTGGTTAACCAAATCATAAAAACAAGACCCAAAAGATTAAAACCATTTCCAAGTAACTGCATCACAAAACAAAGCTCAAGAATATTTATAGGCATACAAAAATATCCAGCACCCAACAAGGTAAAACATCACAAAACCTGACATTCAATACAAGATTACCAGGCATGGCGGGGCGTGGTAGCTCACACCTGTAATCCCAGCATTTTGGGGGGCTGAGGCGGGTGGATCACCTGAGGTCAGGAGTTTGAGACCAGCCTGACCAACAAGGTGAAACCCCGTCTCTACAAAAATACAAAAATTAGCCGGGTGTGGTGGTGGGTGCCTGTAATCCCAGCTACTTGGGAGGACGAGGCAGGAGAATCACTTGAACCCAGGAGGCAGAGGCTACAGTGAGCTAAGATCACGCCCCTGCACTCCAGCCTGGGTGATACAGTGAGACTCTGTCTCAAAAAATAAAAAAATTAAAGTTAAAAGATTACCAGACATACCAAGAGACGGAAAACACACCCATAATAATGAGAATATAAATCAATTGAAGCTGACTTAGGACTAACAGATGTTAAAGTTAGCAGATAAGGACATTAAAACAGTTTCTATGACTGTATTCTGTATGTTCAAAAACTTAAATACAGATATGAAAGATACGTTTTAAAAGACTCAAATAAAACTTCCAGAGATGAAAACTAAAATGTCTGAGAAGTAGAATACACTGAATGGCATTAAGGGAAGATTAGACAGTGGAGAAGAGATTAGTGAACTTTGAAAGCATAGCAATAGAAACAACCCAAAATGAAACACAGAAAGAAAAAATAATCCAAAAGAATGAAAAGAGCTTCAGTGAGTTTGCTGAAAGAACAATTCACCATCTGTCCTGAATATGTCTGCACATTCTTGCTGGTCTGCCAGAAATGATAGGACCCTGACAGCTCTTTACCCCGCCCATTTCTCAGGGTTGTGTTTGCAATGTGCAGCCTTGACAAATGCAGTAAGATCTACTCCCAAGCAAAAATGTCTTGCTTTTGGTTGCTATAAAAGTTCCTGCGGCACAAGCTCAGTGTTCCTCTTCTATAACGAGACTCACTGTGTGTGCAGGCTTTCATTATGAGCCCTTTGCTGTCACCTCAATGGGACTTGGAGGTTATGGGGAACCAGCATGAAAATCAAGACAGGTCATTTTCAGGGCTGTAAAACAACTCTCAATAAATTTAAAAAATTCAATCATAAAGTGAGTGTTCTCAGATAACAATGGAATTAAGTTAGTAGTCAGAAAGATCTCTGAAAATTCCTTGGATACCTGAAATTCAATAACACATTTTTAGTTAACCCATGGATCAAAGAAAAAAATTTTAAAGAATTTTAGAAAGTGATTTTTAACTACATGAAAATTAAAGAATTTGCAGGATATCACTAAAGCAGGACTTAAGAGGAAATTTATAGCACTAAATGCCTATATTAGAAAAGAAGGATTTTATATCAATGACCTCAGCTTCCACCTTAAGAAACTAGAAAAAAGGGGCAAAGTAAAGTATGCAAAAGAAAAGGCATAATAAAGATCAAAGTAGAAATCATTGACATTCATAAACCCAGGAGAGAAAATCAATAAGCTCAAAGCTGGTTCTTTGAGGAAACAAATAAAATTGATATGCTTCGAGCCACACTGAAAAAAGAAAGAAGACACCAATTATATATAACAGAAATGAAAGAGGTGACATTACTGCAGTTTCTATAGATATTAAAATAATAATCTGTGAATATTACTATTAAGAATATACTTAATATGTGAATATTTTAATATTCACATATTATTCTTTTGTATCTATACTATACTTTCATACCTATACTGTATGACAATCAATTCAACAACTTAGATGAAATGGAGAGCTCCCTTTAACAACACAAACTACAGATCAATATCCTTCATGAAAATAGTTGCAAAAATTCTTAACAAAATTTTAGTAAATTGGTTTCATGGTGATCAAATGGGTTTATTCCAGAAGTGCAGGATTGGTTTAATATTCAAAAATCAATTAATTTATCATATTAGTGGACTAAAAGAGTAATACCATATGATCATCTCAATAGATACAAAAAAGCATTTAACAAAATCCAACATCCATTACAGATAAAATTCTCAGCAAACTAGAATAGAAGGGAGCCTGTTAAAGGGTATCTGTGAGAAAACCTTCAACCAACACCATTCTTAGTGCTGAAAATCTGAATGCTTTTCTCCTACAATCAGGAGCAAACCATATGTCTGCTCTCACAACTTCTATTCAACATTGTACTGGTATTGAAAAAGAAATGGAAAGAAAAAGGCAAGGCAAGTAAATAGCCAGATTGAAAAAGAAGAAGTAAAAATATGTTTATTTATAGACATAATCATCTATGTAGAAAATATGATGGAAACTTCAAAAAAGCTACTAGAACTAATAAGTTGGTTTATCAAAGCTGTAGGTTGAATATAAGATAGATGTACAAAATTCAATTGTACTAAGAAATCTCCAGGTTCAGATGGCTTCAGTGGCAGAATCTACCAAACATTGAAAGAAATAACTCTAGCCCTGCACAATCTCTTCCAGAAAACAGAAATAGAAGGAACACTTCCCAGCTCATTTCAGGAGACCAGCATTACATTGGCACCAAAACCAGACAAAGATAATGCAAAAAAAAGAAAGAAAGAAAGAAAGAAAGAAAACAGACCAATTTTCCTCATTAACACAGATGCAAAAACCCACAACAAAATATCAGCAAATTGAACACAGTAATGGTAAAAAGAATAAAAATATTTTCAAATCACATATCCAACAATGGACTTATATCCAAAATACATAAAGAACTCTCTAAATTCAACAGTAAGAAAATACTCAATCCCAATAAAAGGTTGGCAAAAGACTTTAAAAGATACATCAGAGCATACACTAATGGAAAATAAGCATATGAAAAGATGGTCAACATTATTAGTCATTAGAAAAATGCAAATTAAAACCACAATGAGCTACAACTACCCACCAATAAAAATATCTAAACTCTAAAAGTCTGAACATATCAAGTGTTGGGAAGGTTATGGAGAAACTGGAATTCCCACACATTGTCAGTGGGAATATAAAATGGTAGAACTACTTAGGAAAACAGTTTGACAGTTTCTTAAACAGTTAGACACATGCTATATGATTTAGCCGTTCCACTTGAGGTATTTATCCAGGAGAAAAGAAAGTGTGTGTCCATACCAACATTTGGACATCAATGTTCGTAGCAGCTTTATTTGCAATAACCAAAAACTGGAAACAGTCTGAATCTTCATCAATGGAAGAACAATTGTAAATTCATGAATAGAGTACTATTCAACAATAAAAAGCAATGAACTATCTCAACATCATTATGTGGAGTGTAATAAGGCACACATAAAAAAGTTCATATCTTATGATTACACTTACAGAAAATTCCAGAAAATGCAAGCAAATTTACACTGACAGAGCACAGATTGGTGGTTGCCTGCAAATTGGGAAGGCCTGGGTGTGGGTGGGAAGGAAGGATTTCAAAGTGGCATAAGAAAACTTTTGGGTGATATGTTCATTATCTTGATTGCAGTGATGGTTTTGCAGGGATATATGTACATATCATATTGTACATTTTACATATGCACAGTTCATTTTATGCCAACTATATCTCAACAAAGCTGTTTAAAAATGAACTGTGTGTTTCTCTGTTGCCCTAACAATTTGGACTGGATCGTGATTCTTTCAGTATATCTCACAAATTTTAATTTTTAAAACTCTGCCTGTCTTTGGAGGCCCATCTGAAATGCCTTCTCTAAAACACCTCCTGATAATTTTAGCCAGAAGCGACTCACCTCTGTATTTCAAAAACCTTTCGAATACCAGTTATGTGTAACTAACAAATACTGCCTTGAATCATAAATAATTATATATTATTTCCCTTAGAAGATTATACACTCCTGGAAAGCAAGGACCTGACTTTGTACAGTTTGAATTTTCATTACACCTGGTACCAAAAAAAATATTTAAAAAAGTGCATATAGATGTCTATATTTTTTTTTAAAAAACTAACAAATATAGCTAACATTTATTGGACACTTTCTGCAAGGCACTCTGGGAATGCTTTGAATGCTAGCTAATTAAATCTCACAGCAAGTTTATGTCTGAAGCAAGTATAACCATCCCCCATTACACATGAGGAAACTGTGGTTTACAGAGATTAAGTAACTTGCCCAAGCTCATACAACTCATAGTTGGTAAAACCTAGAACTTGACCCCAGGACTGTTGCTAACCACTGCTAAGGGATTATGGGACTTAGTTGAGATCTACTAGTTAGTGACAGAGCCACAGTTAGAGGTCACAATTCCATTTCCACAGGTTCCTCTTCAGGCCTTTGTTTCAGGTCAACTGCCCAAACTCTCACCCAGCCATTTCTTCACCTCAAGGTAATGGAAAATTCCAGGACCCAAGAATCAGAATCGGAATCTCTGAAATGTCCTTGACATGCATAAGAATCCCACTCCCTGCCAGGGATACTCAAACCTTGCTTGTCTGCCTCCCCGCTGCCTTCCTTCTTCCATGGTATTAATCTTCAAGCCCCCCTCTCATCTTGCCCGAGACCCTCTCAGTCTTCTTTCCAGTTCTGCACTGTACCACATCATCGTGCAGTCCTTGTTCCTAAAAGAAACTTTAATTTTAGGTACTATTAATTATTTAAGGAAGAATAACTCATGTTGTAAATTACCCGTTCTTTCTTCTCCTTCAGGATACATAGATTTAGGGTATTTTGATGTGTACCAACAACTTTCAGATTCAGGAGACAGAGACATTTAAGAGCTAGTAAATGTTATCTAGTCTGAATTCCCACCCAGTACAGGAGTCAACTAAAGAACACTGTTAAAGACCAAAAAAAATTTAAAAAAAATTTAAAAAAATAAATAACTTGCTTACTTGCATTATTTCTAGACCTCTGGCATAGCTGCTGTGACCCAGAATGTAATTTTTCAGTCCTAGGAAGTTCACTCTCTCACAGTGACTCATCTGAAGGTGGATTTACTGAAGCTTAAACTTTAGAGACCCTCACTTGCATGGCCCCTTCATGACTCAGTATCAAGTTTAGGATTCATAATTTCGTATACTTTGTTCTTAAAGTTCACCAAATTGAACAACCTATGGTCCCCCGAATTCACCTTAGTTTTGGAAGAAGTGATGTAACTTCTACCCATTAGTAGCTCCACCTTTCTTCTGGAGCTCCAGAGAAGATGTCTAATCTGATTCAAACATTTTAAGGCAATCAACAGTACACACAAGTTCTTTGGTATTATCTCACGATACTTGTTCTCCAGGTTCTTCACCATAGTAGCATCTATTAAGAGCTCTCTGTGTGGGAAACATTGTGGTCATCATAAATCATCTCAGTAATCTGCACAGCTGCCTAGGAGGAAGAAACAAAGATTCCCGTTTTACAAATGAGGAGGCCTGATGCTATGGCCCACACCTGTAATCCTAGTGTGTTCAGAGGCTGAAGCGGGAGAATTACTTGAGGCCAGGAGTTCGAGAACAGCTTTGGCAAACAGTGAGACCCCATCACTACAAAAAGAATTTTTTTAAAAAAATTAGCTGGGCATAGTGGCATGCACCTGTGGTCCTCCTAACTCAGGGGCTGAGGTGGGAGGGTTGCTTGAGCCCGTAAAGTCGAGGCCACAATGATGCCACTGTACTCCAGCCTGGGTAACAGTGTGAGACTGTCTCCAAAAACAAGCAAACAAACAAATTAGAGAACTGAGGGTGGGAGATGTTATATAATATGTCCAAGGTCAAACAGCTTGTAATTTAGGAGTCATAATTTCATATCCTTTTTTCTTAAAGTTCACCAAATTGAACAATCTATGGTTCCCCGAATTCATCTTAGTTTTGGAAGAAGTGATGTAACTTCTACCTATTAGTCGCTCCAGAGAAGATGTCTAAGCACCTGTGGTCCTACTGACTCATGGGCCGAGGTGGGAGGGTTCTTCACCATAATAGCATCTATTAAGAATTATTAATTATTACAAAAGCTACATATTCCACAGCTATGTCACATTGCCTTCTTAATTTTTTTCTGGACAAACTTCTGCATGTATATATACTGTTTCTAAAAGGTGATTTCGATGCAACCTATTTGGAAAGGATTTGTAACTAATCAAAAATTGTAATTGTACCATTTGACTCAGAAATTCTGCTTTTTGAATCTACCGTACAGATCCAGACAAATGTCCATGTGTAGGGGACTGATTAATGATTATGAAACATCTCTCAATTTTGATGTTTGTGATTTAGAAATGAAAAACGAATTGTAAGATGAAATATTTGCATCTGGAAGAAAACATCCCAAACTGTTCCTATCAGAGAACTGTGGGGAATAGGTAGGGGTGGAAAGATGGGGGAACTAAACTGTGTTTATTTCATACAATTTTGTACTATTTGTTTTTCTTTTTACAATGAGTACATGTTACATTTATAATAAATGGTAGCCTTTATTACTAGCTGCGTTCTTGCCAGCTCAAAGAACACTCATTATCAACAACTGAACATCACATCTAGTAGTGCAATTTAACTTTGCATTTGATTTTTTTGTCCGCCTACAGAAGCTTCTATTGAACTTGCCATCAGTTAAGACACCTAGGTCTTTTTCACAGAGTCAGAAGACAGTATAGGTAAAATAACAAAAGATAAAATTCAATCCAATAATTGTTACTTATTGTTAAGAACAGACTTAACACAAGAAGACATCCTTGGCATTTTCAGCACTGATTCTGCATCAACCCACATTCTCTTTCCTATTGATGATGTTTACAGTTCTCTTGAGTTACCATGAAGTGCAGAGCCCCTTTAAAAAGTGAAAAAAGTACAGGTGGGTGGTATGCAAATGTGGCTGTTCAATAGTGCTTGATCTAATGCAAATGCGGCTGTTCAATAGGGCTTAACCATTTGTTTTTTATAAGTGTGCATTTATAAATGTAATGCTTTTTCCTAACCATACAAACAACCAATGTTAACAGAGTCTTGTGATCCTTTCAGAATTTTTCTATGCATATTAACTCATAACTATTATTTTTTAAAAACTTAAATAGGATTAAACTATACAAACTGTGGTACAGCTTCCTTTTTTAATGTAACACTGCATCTTGGATATCTTTCTATATCCCTGCATGGAGATCTTCATTCCTAAATGCAGTGTTGTCTCAGTAAGGTTGATTAATTTTTTTTTTTTTTTGCAACAGAGTCTCACTCTGTTGCCCAGGCTGGAGTTCAGTGGCACAATCTTGGCTCACTGCAACCTCCACCTCCCAGGTTCAAGCAATTCTTTTGCCTTAGCCTCCCAAGTGGCTGGGATTACAGGTGCGCACCACCACGCTCAGCTAATTTTTTGTATTTTTAGTAGAGATGGTGTTTCACCCTGTTGGCCAGGCTGGTCTTGAACTCCTGACCTCAAGTGATCCACCCACCTCGGCCTCCCAAAATGCTGGGATTACAGATATGAGCCACTGCACCCAGCCTGAACTTTTTTTTACCATCCACCTTTGCATGTATTTGGGAGAGATGGGGGTGAAGGGACAGCAAGGAGGGAAAGAGAGGGGGAAGGAGATAGGTCCTTTTGAAATTTCAGATGGCAAGGAGTTTCAGAAGTTTATTAGCTCAAAAATTGTGTTCCAAACATTCCACTAGCTGGAGAGCTGTTTAGATGGCTAAGTTCTTCATTTAGGGTATAGATGATTCTACAGGTTACCTGTGTATCACAGCCCAGTAAACACTTGGGCAGCAGCAACCCTGAATGCCTGGGAACCCCAGGCATTCCCAGAAGTCTCCTCCCATTTGCTCAGTCCACCCAGGTTCTAGTCCCATTTCCCTGGTTCCTGCATTCCTTGGTTTTTTACTCTATCTCCTAATGTCAACCTCAGTTATTCTCTCATTTTCTAACCATGTCTCCCACCTGACTTTACTTCCGTTCCATTTTGATAAACTTGAATCTCTAGGGCAGCAGCCCTCTCCCTGCCAGACATGCCCTTCAGGATCCACTCAAGCTAAGATAGCCCCAGGAGTGCACTCTTACTTTCCAGTGGGGATTGGGAAGTTGGAGGGCATATAGGGGTTAAGTTCACCCATTCATGAATATCCATCTGGGCCAATTGTTTGATTCAGGCAATGTCTGAGACAGACTTGATGAATCTGAGTTTGGGTTCTGAGTAGGGAGATGTAATTCGGACTTTTGAAAAATGGAAGGATATATGCACTGTTTTTAGGATGTAGGATGTTTTTAGGATGTAGGATGTTTTTAGGATGTAGGATGTTAGACGGTGAAGACCAGGGCACAGTGCTAGAAGACAATGAGGAAGTGAGAGAGGTGGGCAAAGACTTTAATTTTGACTGGAACTCAGGTGGTGGCTCGAATAATTCCTTAAGAACATCTTTAATGCCACTGGTATATTTATGGTTTCTTGGAGCATCACTGTCTGAATTTTGGATGTCTGGACTAGTATGGATTTACTAATAATAATATCTACCACATGTTAAGAGCATGATATTTGCCAAGTGTGTGCTAAATGCTTCACTAATGTTAGCTCTCACTGTCCCCAGAATCTGGAACGATGCCTGCAACATAGTAGACCATTAAAAAAAAATCACTGTGCCATCAATAAGTAAATCAGCCTACAACTAGTAAATGTTGCAGTCAAGATTCAAACATAGATCTATCTGATATCAGACTTCTGAGTCACTATAACACTGTTTCTCAAAGCAGTATTCTCAGTCTATCTCATTTTAGCTGGTTGATTCTGATCCAAGGTATTCAAGTCTCCTCTGATGCAACTCTTGTATTTAGTCTAATGATTCTCTCCAGAGACCATAAGGAAACACAAGGCAAAAGAATTTTCCAAACACGAGCTTGGGGGAAAGTAGTTTCAACTTTCGTTTTCGAATGACCCACCTCCCTGGGCCACTCCAATTTAGGAATATTCCCATGTAACAAAAGTGGAATTTTTAGAATTTTCTCCTAATCAGTTCTGGCTCAGCCAAGCAATTTGGATAAGGCAGGTCAAAAAGGAGTGATGAGTGATATATATCAATATCGTTCATTCATGTCTCTATTCAGCAAATGTTTTTTATGCTTATTCTAAGTGCTAAGCACCATGGTAGGTGCTGGTGATACCAAGAAGAAAGTAAAGTGTTCTCACCTTCAAGAAGCTCATGAGCTAATGAGGAGAGAATCACACACGAAGAGCTCTAGTGCAATCATCTAAGAGCATTAACGGGAGTGTGTGCAAATGTGAGGTTGTATAGGAAGATTGGAATGAGGTCTGACTCGATAGGGCAAGACAGGCTTTGCAGAGGAAGTGGGATTTTAGCTGATATGTGAAAGACAAGTAGAAGTTTCCCAGGTTAGTAAACCGGGGTTAGTGTTTAGAAAGAAAGAACAACACGTGCAAAGGCATGGAGCCCCTTTACAGCCCTGAGCCTGAAAGGTGGCACAATGGGGCATGGCAGGAAATAAAACTGGACACATGGGCACGTGGGCTGGTGCAAACCATGAGGAGGGGCCTTATATGCCACACTGCACCATAAAAATTGGTTCTATATGTCAGGAGGAGCTACTGGAGAATTTGCTCAGGTACACACGGTTGGATTACCATGTTAGAAAGATCATTCCAGTGGCAGAGGATAAGAGGGAGCTGGAACAATGGCAGTGGGGATGGAGTCAAGGAAATGGGCATGAAAGACATCTGGAAGGTGAAAGAAGGGGATGTTTTATTGTATTTTTTGTTTTATTATTATTATTATTTTTGAGATGGAGTCTTGCCCTGTCGCCAGGCTGGAGTGCAGTGGTATGATCATAGCTCACTGCAGGCTCGAACTCCTGGGCTCAAGCTGTCTTCCCACCTCAGTCTCCCAAGTAGCTGGGACCACAGGTGTGCACCACCACACTTGGTTAATTTTTTTATTTTTTTCTAAAGACGGGGTTTCATTATGTTGCCCAGGCTGGTCCCCAACTCCTGGACTCAAGCGATCCTCCTGCCTTGGCTTCCCAAAGTGCTGGAATTACAAAAGTTAGCCACTACACCCAGCCAAAAGATAATATTTTAATTGATTTGATGGAGGCAGAGGAAGATAGAGAAAGGAATCTAGGTTTCCTCTTAGGTTCCTGACTTGGCCAGTGGGTGGATGTACCACTCCTTGAGACAATAGAGAGAAAGGAACAGGTATAGGAGTATGCAGAAGTCATAGGGAAGATGGTGAATTCAGTTTGGGGACACGTTCAATGGTCAGACCCAACTTGTGGATCTAGGGCAAGGAGAGTGATTTGGTTGGAGGAGAGATTTGGAGGGCATCAGCCCTGGCATAGATGAAATTGCCTTTTGAGAATCTGCTACTCAGGTATGTTATATAGGTATGGTTATATAGGTATAAAGATATGTTATATAGATAAGGTTCTATGCTTGGGACAAAGCCTATTGGTAGGACAAACCTTCATCAAGATTTAAATGGAGATTTAAAAATGGTTATTATGGCCGGGTTTGAGTCCAGCCTGGGCAAGTTAGCAAGATCCCATTTCTAGAAAGAAGAAATAGCCATTGTTTATTCAAATTGTAATCAGGATGTATGGATCTACCGAATGCATCAAAAGGCTAGTTTGTTTCATTTTGGCAGAAAGCCTGAAATTTTGCCATTCTATTTTAATCTTCTTTTTCTTAATTTTGTACATTATATTGAGTAATGTGCTTTCATTATCTTTGTCTGAACATTCATACAAATACACTTGCTATCTGAAAAATCATAAAATTGTTAGAAACTTTTATTTTCTTTATCCAAGAGAAATCTCCAAGCACATCTTTCAAAGATCAATTACACTGAGTGTCTCTTTTCCAGTGCTTCATAATGGACCCTGAAGATCTAGACAGAAAAAAGTCAGGTGGTGGAGGAAGTGTAGGAAGCCCACCACTGAAGGGTTATTAAAGGTTCCTTCTGCAAGACTTGGCAATGATAAAGGGATTCGATGATGAGTTTTGTTGTCTCTTAGTCACAGAAAGTAAGCCAAGTTCCAAGTCTCCCCCGGTAATTTAGTCCTTAAGGCAACTTACCTGAAAATAATACAAGTGTTATGAGGCAAAAGGCAATACAATTTTCTCACTTGATAGGGTCCGAGAACCAGAGGACTCTCTTCTAACTATGGACAGGGTACATCTGCACTTGACATTTTATTTTAAACACTACTTTGTGCTTGGGTTAATTGTCTTTGGTCTAAAGTTCTATAGCAGCAGATGACTCATTTTTTCTCCCTCTACTCTTCTCCAATGTGAGAAATAAGGGAGATTAACTATTAGCGAGTATTAGTGATAGGGGAATCTTAGTGTTCATATCCAGGCCTCTCATTTTAAAGATAAGGATATTGAAGCTAAGAGATTAAGGAGTCTGCCCCAGCTCTAATTATCACTACTGTCTAGAGAGGCAGTGTGCTTCGTGAAAAAGAACTGATATTAGAGCCACGTGGACCCAGGTTCCAGTTCCCTAATTATGTGACTCCAGGCAGCTTTCCTTATCACTCTGAGCTTGATTTCCTTCTTTTTTTTTTTTTGAGGCGGAATTTCACTTTTGTTGCCCAGACTGGAGTACAGTGCCATGATCCTGGCTCACTACAACCTCCGCCTCCCAGGTTCAAGCGATTCTCCTGCCTCAGCCTCTTGAGTAGCTGGAATTACAGGTGCCCGCCACCACACCCAGCTAATTTTTTTGTATTTTTAGTGGAGATGGGGGTTTTGCCATGTTGGCCAGGCTGGTCTCAAACTCCTGACCTCAGGTAATCAACCCCCCTCGGCCTCCCAAAGTGCTGGGATTACTGGCATGAGCCATCACGTCCAACCGGGCTTGATTTCCATACATGTAGAAAATGAAAAACTTGGGTTAGAAAACCGCTAACGTCACTCCAAGTTCTAGCATCTGCAAGTGTTTTCTTAAGATTAGAGCCAACATAACCTGATCCCTAGTCCAGGACATTTTAAATCACACTTTACTCCCCCTCACATTATAAGTCATTGTTTATTTGGCAAAAATCTGCTAAATCCTTGCAATTTCAAATGCTTCTGTCTGCAGACCTGCAGCCTCGCCTGGGAGCTTTACACAGCAGAGCCTTGAGACCTCGCAAATCAGAACCTGCATTTTAACAAGATCATCACTGGCTTGTATGCACATTAAAGTTTGAGAAGCACAGTGTTTAAACAGTCTGTGCTGTAGTATCGATCATAACACCTTTAATTAACCAGTTAATGTTTTAAGCTTAAAAATATACATTGGAGGCATATATAAGCAAACTATTAACCATAAGGATCAAACTCACGTCTCACATCGGCAGGACTTCAGAATTTATATTCAAGATCTGGCATTATCACTTATTACCAGCGTGATGTTAGACAAATTATTCTTCAAGCTTCAGCTTCCCCAGCTGTAAAATGTGAATAATTCTTGCCTTGCATACTTCACCAGGGGTATTACGAAGAACAAATAAAATAATGAATGCAAAATAACATTGTAAATGTTTAATACCATAGAGAAGCAACTTTTAAGAAAGGGAATAGTCCTGACTCTACCAATAATAGAACAAAATGCCTTTGAGAAGTTGATAGGATGGATTTTGTTTATAGAGAGAGGTAATTGCCTTCATACTGAGGTCTATGAAATAATGGGAAGGTCTCTTCCATCCTCCCTCATTCATTCTGTCACCTGAGCAATGTTAAAACTTTTCTAGTGGGAGCCGAGATTTCGTAAAGTTCAATACAATAAATAAATAAAAAGACTCGGCCAGGTGTGGTGGCTCACACCTGTAATCCCAGCACTTTGGGAGGCTGAGGTGGGTGGATCACCTGAGGTCAGGAGTTCAAGATCAGCCTGGCCAATGTGGTGAAACCCCGTCTCTACTAAAAATACAAAAATTTGTCAGGCTTGGTGGCGTGTGCCTGTAATCCCAGCTACTCAGGAGGCTGAGGCAGGAGAATTGCTTGAACCTGGGAGGCAGAGATTGCAGTGAGCTGAGATCACGCCACTGCACTCCAGCCTGGGTGACAGAGCAAGGCTCCGTCTCAGAAAAGAAAGAAAGAAGGAAAGAAGGAAAGAAAGAAAGAAAGACAGAGAGAGAAAGGGAAAGGAAAGGAGGAAGGAAGGAAGGAAGGAAGGAAGTAAGGAAGGAAGGAAGGAAGGAAAGAAAGAAAGGAAGGAAGGGAGAAAGAAGGCTCCATCTTAAATCATGACACTGAGCGAAAGGGAAAAAAATCCTCCTCTAAGAATTTATAAACGTAAGCTGGCCCTCACATTTGTTTGGCCTTACAGTCCAAAATCATACTTCCAAAAATCTCAAGCGAACAGTTTAGCTTTAAATAGTCATCAGAAAGATTAGTGAATTTGAATACTTAGCAAGAGAAGTTATTAAAAATTTTCTTTTTAAGACGGAGTCTTGCTCTGTGGCCCAGGCTGGAGTGCAGTGGCCCGATCTCGGCTCACTGCAAGCTCCGCCTCCCGGGTTCACGCCATTCTCCTGCCTCAGCCTCCCGAGTAGCTGGGACTACAGGCGCCCGCCACCACGCCTGGCTAATTTTTTGTATTTTTAGTAGAGACGGGGTTTCACCGTATTAGCCAGGATGGCCTCGATCTCCTGACCTTGTGATCCGCCCGCCTCGACCTCCCAAAGTGCTGGGATTACAGGCTTGAGCCACCACGCCCGGCCAAGAGAAATTATTAAAAATTTTAAAAAGAGAGAAAAGAGAATTAAAAAACAGAAACAGAACATCAGTGAGGGTGGAACAGTAAGCAGCCTAATAGACCAAGTAACTGGAATCCTGGAGAAAGAAGAGTTAGAGGAGAGCACAGGAAAAACATTTGAAGAAATAGTGACTGAAATTTCCCCCAATTTAATGAAGACCCATAGAGTGAATATATTCTGTGAAGATGAAGCAGAAGAAACATGAAGAAAACAACATCAAATTGCTCAAAATTTGGGACAAAGAAAAAAATCTTAAGAATAGCTAGGGGAGGCCGGGCATGGTGGCTCACGCCTGTAATCCCAGCACTTTGGGAGGCCGAGGCAGGAGGATCACTTGAGGTCAGGAGTTCAAGGCCAGCCTGGCCAACATGGTGAAACCCCGTCTCTACTAAAAACACAAAAATCAGCTGGGCGGGGTGGCTCGTGCCTGTAATCCCAGCTACTCAGGAGGATGAGGCAGGAGAATCGCTTGAACCCAGGAGGCGGAGATTGCAGTGAGCTGAGATTGCACCATTGCACTCCAGCCTGGGTGGCAAAGTGAGACTTTGTCTCCAAAAAAAAAAAAAAAGTAGCCAGGGGAAAAAAGATGTGTTATACACAGAGAAGAAAGACAGGTTATGAACAGATAAGAATTATAACAGAGTTCTCATTAGAAGCAATGCAAGCCAAAAGGCAGTGAAATAACATCTTAAAGTACTGAAAGAACATTGTAAACCAGGAATCCTATACCCAGTGAAAGTGTCTCTCAAAATAAAGGTAAATACTTTTTCAGACATACAAAAGTGAAAGAACTCATCACTAGAAAGAAATGTTAACATCCTTCAAGTTGAAGGAAAATGATGCCCCATCGAAATAGGGATCTCTACGAAAGAAAGAAGAGCGTTAGAAATAGTAATAACATGAGTGAACATAAGATTTTTTTTATTGTTGAAATATCTCTTAAAATGAATGAACAGTTTAGAAAAATAATAACAATGTAATATGAGATTTATAATATATAAAAGTAAAATGTATGGCAGCACTAGCACAGAGTTCAGAAAAAGAGAAATTAAAGAATATTATTGTAAGGCTTGTATATTGCATGTGAAGTAATAAAATATAATTTCAACATAGACCTCTGATAAGTTAAAGATATATACTACAATCCCTAAAACAATTATTAAGATAACAAATCAAGGAGTTAGGGCTAAAACACCAACAAAGGGGATAAAATCATTAAAAATATTCAATTGATCCAAAAGAAAGCAGGAAAAAAATAGGAAAAAGAATAGATGAAACAAATAGGGAACATTTGGAAGATGATTGACTTAAACCTAACCATGTTAATAATCGCATTAGATGTAAATGGTCTAAACTCCCCACTTACAAAACAGATTATCAGACTGGACAAAGAAGTAAGACCCAACTGTATGCTGCCTATGCAAATACACTTTATATATAAAGTTACACAAAGGTTCAAAGTAAAGGACATCAAGAACTAAAGTACATAAAGTATTTACCCTACTTGCAAGTTAATAATCTGGACTGCTCCAGTTTCATGGATGCTGGTAAAAGACATGAGACTCCTGGGTCAGAGGCAAAGGACTTTATTATTCACATCAATAGCAGTAGCCAGAGTATCAACATTTTTGCACTGCTTTCCTGAGTTTCAAATGCGAGATTCTATGAATATTAGAACGATAATCAAGGAATATTTTTTAAAAACTGTATGTCAAAAATTTTGAACCACTTAGATAAAATGGGCAAATTCCTTAAAAGATATCAATTACTAGATTTTACTCAAGAACAGACACTCTAAATAGCCTGATTGAGGAAATTGAAAGTGCAGTTTAAAACCTTACCACAAAGAAAGCTCTAGACTCAGATGGCTTAACTGATAAATTATACCAGAGACATCATTTCTTTTTACTTTTCTTTTTTTTGAGATGGAATTTCGCTCTTGTTGCCCAGGCTGGAGTGCAATGGCGCGATCTCGGCTCACTGCAACCTCCAGCTCCCGGGTTCAAGCAATTTTCCTGCCTCAGCCTCCCGAGTAGCTGGGATTACAGGCATGTGCCACCACGCCCAGATAATTTTGTATTTTTAGTAAAGACGGGGTTTCTCCATGTTGATCAGGCTGGTCTCGAACTCCCAACCTCAGGTGATCCACCCGCCTCAGCCTCCCAAAGTGTTGGGATTACAGGCGTGAGCCACCATGCCCGGCTGACATCATTTCTATATAAACTTCCAGAAGTTGTACAAGAAAGAATGCTTCTTAATTCATCTGGTAGGGCCAGCGTAACTCATACCAAAATCAGACAAAGTCATTACAAGAACAAAAACTATAAGAAAATATCTTTTTATGAACTTAGATGCAAAATATTCTAAAATAAATTGTGTAAATCAAATACAGTAATATAAAGACCCATAGAGTGAATACATTCTGTGAAGATGAAGCAGAAGAAACATGAAGAAAACAACATCAAATTGCTCAAAATTTGATGTTGAGCAAAAAGAAGAATACATCATGACCAAGTGGGGTTTATTCAAGTATAAAAGGCTGGCTTGATGTTCTAAAACAATCATGTAATTCACCATATCAAAAAGCTAATAAAGAACAACCATAGGCCGGGCGTGGTGGCTCACGCCTGTAATCCCAGCACTTTGGGAGGCCGAGGCGGGCAGATCACTTGAGGTTGGAAGTTTGAGACCAGCCTGGCCAACATGGTGAAAACTCATCTCTACTAAAAATACAAAAATTAGCCAAGCATGGCGGCGGGTGCCTGTAATCCCAGCTACTTGGGAGGCTAAGGCAAGAGAATCGCTTGAACCCAGGATGCAGAGGTTGTAGTGAGCCGAGAACATGCCACTCCAGCCTGGGTGACAATAGTGAGACTCCATCTCAAAAAAAAAAAAAAAGAAAAAAGAAAAACCGTATAATTATCTTGATAGTTGTAGAAAAGACAATCCAAAATCCATTCCTGATAAAAAATAAAAATAAAAATAAAGTCTTCGTGAGCTAGGAATATAGAGGAACTTATTCAACCTGCTAGAGAATAAAACAGAAAACATCATACTCATTGGTGACATATTGAATCCTTCTGTTAACTAAGATCGGAAAAAAACAAGGATTTCATGGTTATTAGTTCTATTCAACATTGTACTGGAGGAAGTATCCAGTGTAAAAAGGCAAGAAAAATAAGTAAAAAGTCATCCACATTGGAAAGGAAGAAGTAAAAGTGTCCTTATATAAAAATGACTTGATTATGTAGAGAATCTGATGGAAACAACAAAAAAGCAACTAAAACTAATAAATGACTCTTATAAAGTTTCAAGATGCAAGATTGATGTACAAAAATCTAGGCCAGGTATGGTGGCTCACACCTGCAATCCCAAAATTGGGAGGCCAAGAAGGGAGGACTGCTTGAGGCCAGGAGTTCAAGACCAGCCTGTGCAACATAGTGAGACCCCATCTGTACAAAAACTTTTTAAGAATCAGCCAGGTTTGGTGGCATGTACCTGTAGTCCTAGCTAAGCAGGAGGCTAAGTAAAGAGGATCACTTGCACCCAGAAGTTCAAAGCTGCAATGGGCTATGATCATGCCACTGCATTCCAGCCTGGGTGGCAGAGTAAGACTTTGTCTCTCTAAAAAAAAAATTGTACCATCAAGAACAATCAGAAAATGCATGACAATAATAGCATAAGTCAGGAACGGGTGCTCAGTGTTGCAGTGGTCTTTAGGTCCTCGTTATTGTCCTGGAGGAGGATAAAGATGTCTATGACTTTAGAAGTTGATATCTTAAATGTCATGTTAAAATTCCCATGTTAACTACCAAAAGAATAGAAATAGAATTTATGGCTTTCAAAGTAGAAGTGGGGAAAAATTGGATCGAGGAAAAAAATACTTCCTTTATCTATAAAAAGACAAGAAAGAAGTGAGGAAAACAGAAAATTGGAGCATATTAGAGCAAATGTGAATGTTGAGGGAAAGAATCCAGAAAAGGAGGAAGTAATGATCTGAGGGAGAAATGGGAGATATGGATCAAGGTATCTATGAAAGGAAGAAAGGAATGGGATCAGAGAGCATGAGAAGGGGACAGACAGGGGCTCACTGAGGGAGGAGGGAAGATGGAGATGTGTGCAAGGATGCTTGGGAGTTTGGTCTCAGGGAGATGAGACACTCATGTTCGATGGCTTTTAGAGCCACCAGGGAGGAAAGGGCATCTGCTGAGGGTACCAGAGGAAGAGGGTGGGGAGGTATGAGATGCTGAGAAGTTCTGCCTACTCAGGAAGCGTGGAAAATACCACAAATAGCAAGAGAGGCAAACTCACCCCTTTACAATTGTGCCTGGTTTCCTAGAAGCCTCTTTCCAGATGGTAGGACCATGCAGAAATATAGCTGAGACTGATTTGAAATCATAGAATGGAAACTGAAACCTTTCCTTTCATTTTTGCTTCATGAGCCATCCAACTTCCCCATTTTGCAAACATTCCTGTGAAATCAAGTCACAGAATTATGGAAGCTTAATATCTTAGAGCTTGGAGATCATTTTTACAGATGGGAAAGTCCCAGAAATATTAATCCAGTTTTTCTTCTCCAGACACCTGCTTTATTGCTTTTATTTGAAATGAACACTGTGGTAGCACTAGGTGATTAGCAGTTAGCATTTCTGCAGGATTTCATTCATTTTACTTATTTGTTCTTTGAGACAGGGTCTTGCTCTATTGCCCAGGCTGGAGTACAGTGGCGTGATCAGCCTCAACCTCCCAGGCTCAAGCGATCCTCCCACCTCAGCCTCCCAAGTACCTGGGACTACAGGTGTGCGTCACCATGCCCAGCTAATGTTTGTTTTTTTTTGTAGAGACAGGGTTTCACCATGTTGCCCAAACTAATCTCGAAATTTTAGGCTCAAGTTATCCTCCTGCCTTGGCCTCCCAAAGTGTTGGGATTGCAGGCATGAGCCACTGTGCTGGGCCCTTTTTAAAAAAATTATTGTGGCAAAATACACCTAACATAAAGTTTATCATTTTAACCATTTTTAGGTGTGTGCAGTTCTGTGGCATTAAGTACGTTTACATTGTTGTATAACCATTGTCATTATACTTCTCTGGAAGTTTTCACTTTCCCAAACTGAAACTCTGCACACATTAAACAGGATTTCATTCTTAACTGAACACTGACTGGCTCAGTAGGCCTCATGTGCATAATAGCAGGGTCTCGGGCCCCCTCAAAGTATCCTACAGTTATTTTTGGAGAACTTAAAGAATGCACACACATAACTATATTGTATGTAAAAATTTTGAAAGTACAATTTTAGGCCATGGTGGTGGCTCACGCCTGTAATCCCAGCATTTTGGGAAGCCGAGGCAGGTGGATCACCTGTGGTCAGGAGTTTGAGACCAGCCTGGCCAACATGGTGAAACTCCATCTCCACTAAAAAAAAAAAAAAATTAGCTGAGTGTGTGAGTGTGGTGGCGTGTGCCTGTAATTCCAGCTACTCGGGTGGCTGAGGAAAGAGAATCACTTGAAACTGGGAGGTGGAGGTTGCAGTGAGCCGAGATTGTGCCACTGCACTCCAGCCTGAGTGACAGAGCAAGACTCTGTGTCAAAAGAAGAGAATGATTTTACATAATTTTTAAATTTCATGCTTATTTTTGAGCAGTTTTAGATTTACAGAAAAATTGAACAGAAAGTACAGAGAGCTCCTATACACAATCTCACCTACATCCTCCCCAACAGTTTCCTCTATTATCAACATCCCCTACCCAAGCAGGACATTTATTACAATTGATGAGCCATTCTTGACATATTATTGCTAACTAAAGTCCATAATTTACATTACGGTTCACTCTTCATATTGTGTGGTTTCTTTTTTTTTTTTTTTGGAGACAGAGTCTCACTCTGTCCCCCAGGCTGGAGTGCAACAGCACAATCTTGGCTCACTGCAACCTCCACCTCCCAGATTCAAGCAATTCTCCTGCCTCAGCCTCCGGAGCAGCTGGGACTACAGGCGCACACTACCACGTCCGGCTAATTTTTGTATTTTTAGTAGAGACGGGGTTTCACCATGTTGGCCAGGCTGGTCTCAAACTCCTGACCTCAAGTGATCCACCCGCCTCGGCCTCCCAAAGTGCTAGGATTACAAGCATGAGCCACTGTGCCCAGCTGGTTTTGGAAAATGCATAATGACAAGTATTCACCATTATAGTATCATACTGAATAGTTTCAATGCTCTAAAATTCCCTGTGCACTCCCTATCATTTCTCCCTTCCCACAACCCCCTGGCAATAGTGGATCTTTTTACTGTCTCCATAGTTTTACCTTTTCTAGAACTTGTATAATCAGAATTACATAGTATGTAGCCTTTGCAGATGGGCTTCTTTCGCTTAGTAATATACATTCAGGTTTCTGCCCTGTCTTTTCATGGCTTGATAACTCGTTCCTTTTTTGTGCTAAATAATAATGTATTTCATTTTCCAGATGTACCACAATTTGTTTATTCATTCACTTACTTCAGTAAGCGACATCTTAATTGACCCCAAGTTTTGGCAACTATGAATAAAGTTGTTATAAACATTCATGGACCGGTTTTTCTAAGTACGTAAGTTTTAAGCTCATTTGGGTCAATACCAAGGAGCACTATTGCTGAATCGCGGAAAATGATGTGTAGTTTTTAAAAAACCGCCAAACTGTCTTCCAAAGTGGCTGGACCATTTTGTACTCCCACTAGCAATAAACAAGAGTTCCTGTTGCTCCTCATCCTCACCAGCATTTGGTGCTGTCAGTGTCTTGGATTTCAGCCACTCTAGTAACTGGGTAGTGGTATCTCATTGTTTAAATGTTCAATCTTTAATGACATTTAATAAGCCTCTTTTCATATGCATATTTACCACCAATTATCTTCTTTCTTGAGGTGTCTGTTCAGCTCTTTTGCTCATTTTTTAATTGAGTTGTTTGTTTTCTCATTGTTGAAGAATTCTTCGTATATTTTGGATGCCAATCCTTTATGAGATACACATTTTGCAAATATTCTCTTCGAGTCTATGGGTTCATCTTTTCATTCTCTTAACAGTGTCTTTTGAAGAACAAATGTTTTAAATTGTAATGAGGTCCAAAATTATTTTTTTCTTTCATGGATTGTACTTTTGGTGTTGTATTTAGGAAGTGAACACCAATCCCAAGGTCACCTAGCTTTTTTCCCATGTTATCTTCTACGAGTTATATAGTTTTGTGTTTTACATTAGGCCTGTGGTACGTTCCATTTTCTTTTGTGGCCAATACTCTCCATAATTCCTCAATTTAACTATCGAATTAAAAGGTCACAATATTGTGATATTTTCTATTTTGCACTATAAATTGCACTCTGAAAATTAGGCTATCCTCTTATGTTCTTTTCTTTATTTTTTTTTTTTTTATTTTTATTTTTTGAGATGGAGTCTCGCTTTGTTGCCCAGGCTGGAGTGCAGTGGCGCAATCTCGGCTCACTGCAACCTCTGCCTCCCAGGTTCAAGGGATTCTCCTACCTCAGCCTCCCAAGTAGCTGGGATTACAGGTGTGTGCCACCACACCTGGCTAACTTTTTGTATTTTTAGTAAAGATGAGGTTTCACCATGTTGGCCAGGCTGGTCTTGAACTCCTGACCTCAGGTGATCCACCTGCCTCGGCCTCCCAAAGTGCTGGGATTAGAGCATGAGCCACTGTGCCCAGCCAATAACCTTGTTTTCTATCCCACTATGTTTTCCTATTTCTTTTCCATGGGTATTTCTTCTATAGCAATCCATTTATGGCATCTGTATTGCTTGGACACATGCAGAAACTTCTTTAATCATGAACATATTATGAAATTAGTAAGTTATTAAAAATTCCTTCTTTACTAATGGCAATAACCCAGGCCTGAAAAGGAACTCATTTACTAAATATCTATCTCAATATGTATTACCCAACCCAAGTGAAATCTCACAGCTAAAAAGCTGTGAAGACTCATAAAGGGTCCCGAAAATGGAACATTCAAAGAAAGCGCGGTGTTCTAAATAAGCTTGAGCTTGTATTATGCTATTAATGAAACTGCACTTGGCCTTTGCAGCCTAACACATAGGGTGACAGGTGGAGAAACTACAAATAGCCTTGGCCTAAGAATGGAAAAAATGATAAGCCGGGGCCAAGGCTTTCAAAGTGACTTAATGACAGGAATGCAAGGGGCAGACCTGAGAATACAGAATAGTGAATTACAGGCCTCCCAAAGAACCTGCGAGTGCAGAGGGTTTGGGCTACATGCCACCCTCATGGTGGCCCCGCTTAGACTTAGAATGGTAAACTCCACAACGTCAGTTTGTGGGGGTGCTGAGATCCATGTGTCCACATAATGTGTCTCATGAATACTAACTTCCCAAAAGCAACAGAACACCCCCGAAATCCCTGTCATTGTACCACATGGTGGAGGCACTTTGAACTGCACATTTCCTGGGATGATCGGGCTGTGCTGGTTCCTCTTGGGTTCTGATGCTATTGCAGAGTGGAAAGTGGCTTAGCCCACCTGCTGGCTGTATCATATTACCTGAAGGCTGGGGAGAGGGCCACAGACAGGGGATTTGGGAGCTCTGGGTTTTAACCTCAGCTCCACTTGTCGACTCATTGAACACTTATGGCGTTTTGATTTCCTCATCTTTAAAATTGGGATATGAGCTGTCTTTACCGGTAAGCTGACTATGAGTAATTAACTAGTGAAATAGATCATTTGGTGCTATATATTCAGTGGAGGAATAGGGAGCTAAACATAAATTGTAGACCTCACTGTGCCTCACCCTGCCCTAATTCCCTCATAATAAGGAAATCCTCATGTGGGTAGCCCACATGATCCCAAAGATCGCTTCTATTCCAAAATCTATCATTCTAGTCATTGCCTGTGTTAGCGGCTCTCAAACTTGGCCATGAGACAGAATCACCTGGAGGTGATCTCGTTAAAACACAGATTGGGGCTCAAGGTTTGGCATTTCTAACAAGTTCTCAGATGTTGCTGATGGTCCTCTCCAGGGGACCACAGCCTAAGAACCACTAATTTATGGCAGGTAAGAAAACTCTTGCCATGGCCAGGTGTGTTGGGTCACGCCTATAATCCCAGCACTTGGGAGGCCAAGGCGGAGCTCAGGAGTTCGAGAGAGCCTAGGCAACCTGGTGAAACCCAGTCTCCACAAAAAATAGAAAAAAATTAGCCTGGTGTGGTGGTGCACAGGTGTAGTCCCAGCTACTTGGAAGGCTGAGGTGGGAGGATGGCTTGAGCCCAGGAGGTGGAGGTTGCAGTGAGCTGAGATCATACCACTGCACTCCAGCCTGGGCAACATATTGAGACCCTGCCTCAAAAAAAAAAACAAAAAAAAAAGAAAAGGAAAGAAAAGGAAAAGAAAAGAAAACTCTGGCCAAGAGAGAGAGTGAACAAACCTTATTCACGGCTGTTTCATGGGTGCACAGCCTGCGTAGTCCTACAGTCTCAGACCTCACCCTCAAGGGTCCTGTGCTTGATTTAGTGCTCGGCTGTTACCAACAACCTGAAATTCTTAATGTTTGAACAAGATACCCCCACATTTTCATTTTGCATTGGACCCCCTAAATTATGTAGCGGATTCCATTCATGGTTTTGGTTTTTCAAATGCACAAAGGTCATTTTAGAAAGGCACCTGAAAAACTCCTAAAAACCTTCAAGCTACTTCTACACCCAAAGAAACAGATTTATATAGAAATTGTTCTTTTGGTTACCTGCATCTTGCCCGTCTGCTAATCTACCCAGAAGAGGCTGGTGTGCCCATGTGGCCAAACCCTAGGCCGACACAGGGCAGAGTGAGATCTGGTCTCATCTGTCCTCTCTGAGAACCTCTCCTCCATCTCTTGCCTTCTTTCAAAGTTCCAAAGCCACTTTTACATTTCTAGGAATTGGTATAGGAGCACCCCCCTTCTTGATAGCAAATACTGTCTTAGTCAGCTTTAACAAATCACCACAGTCTGGATTGCTTAAACAACAGAAACGTATTTCTCACAGTTGTGGAGACTGGGCAGTCCAAGATCAAGGTGCCGGCTGATTTTGTGTCTGACGCCGCCCAGGCTGAAGTGTGAGTGGTGTAATCAGAGCTCACTATAACCTTGAACTCCTAGGCTCAACTGATCCTCCCACCTCAGCCTGTCTAGTAGGCAGGGCTGTAAGTGTGCACCACCATGCCTGGCTAATTTTTTAATTTTTTGTTGAGACAGGATCTTGCTACGTTGCCCAGCCTGGTCTTGAACTTCTGCCCTCAAGCAATCCTCCCACCCTGGCTTCCCAAAGTGCTGGGAACACAGGCATGAGCCTCTCCAGGATTGCTAGCAGGAACACCTGCCTTTCAAAAGAAGAATACCTCCAGGGAGAAAGCAATCTTGTTGTATAAATATACATGATTTTTTGAGGGTGGAGGACTTCACCCTTTGAATTATAGTGTGTACAGAATTGTCTGCCTGGCCTGTCTCTCAGACTGGGCTGCTACATAATCTTACCCTTAAGAGGAGAGGCTGGGCACGGTGGCTCACATCTGTAATCCCAACACTTTGGGAGACCGAGACGGGCAGATCACTGAAAGTTGGGAGTTGGAGACCAGCCTGGTCAACATGGTGAAACCCTGTCTCTACTGAAAATACAAAAATCATCTGGGCATGGTGACAGGCACCTGTAATCCCAGCTACTTGGGAGGCTGAGGCAGGAGAATTGCTTGAACCTGAAAGGCAGAGGTTGCATTGTGCCAAGATCGCACCACTGCGCTCCAGCCTGGGAGACCAAGCAAGGCTCCATCTCAAAAAAAAAAAAAAAAAAAAAAAAAAAAAGGAGAGATATTTTAGGTGCCTAACCTGAAAGCACACCCAAGCACGACTCCAACTACACGGCCAAGCTGACCGCACATAGTCAAGGCTAAGGCTGCTCACCAGCGAAATGAAGACATCCGTATCTTTTTTTAGGATGGGAATTCCTACCCTGGCACACCTCTTGGACTTGTTTTCCTTTTGGTCAGAGCTGATAATGGCACTTGGGTTTTATATAGTCCTGTAGTTGTCAGTGTCAACAGCACGGGGAATTACAAAGCTAAAATCCATTTATTTTGCTTCCCTGGGGTAGACAAGCTTTGCCAAGAGGACATAAGGAATGGGAGACTGAAAGAGCCATTGCCAAAATTAAGATGTTATCGCATTGACCAAGAAAGAGTCTCTTGGTCTGGAAATGGCAGCTAGGGCTCACAAGGACGTACTTGCTAAGGGTGGCGTGATTCCACTAGTGTTTAGGATGCCAGTCGCAGTAAGGATCGCGTGGCATGATGCTGATGTTAGCAGACTGGAGATGAAGGGAACTAGTTAGCTAATACCACTCTAAAAACACCAAGAAATGTAGCCCTCTTTCCTCTCAAGGGTCATATCCCCCCAGCCCCACTGTTTGCATAAAAGGAGACTTTGCGCAAATTACAAATGAGATCCCCTTCCTCAGGACACTTTGAAGCCATAAGCCAGAAAATTGTCATCATCTCCACATAAATTTCTTTTTGTTGTTGGCTTTTTTTTTTTTTTTTTTGATAGAGAAGTCTCACTATGTCACCATGGCTTGTCTCAAGCTCCTGGGCTCAAGAGATCCTCCTGCCTTGGCCTCCCAAAGTGCTGGGATTACAAGCATGAGCCACCATGCCCAGCCTCCATATACATTTCTGATGCCCCTGAAGTGAATGGTGTTCCCTGGAGTCATGCCGGCACAACTTACCCTGCCTGTTGGGTCCAAGGTGAGAGAGATGTTAGGAACATCTGTCTATTGGCTACCACCTCCTTGGGGAGTAGCAGCTACAAATCAGTGTCAAGAACTAATATTGATTGCTTGTTTACCCTGGTATGGCTGTGGAGTAAGAACTCAAAAGAGTGAAGAGTTGCTGCTAATCACTGCATCTCTGGATGATTGTGGAATCCTACCTGCCTCCGGTGGGAATCGAATTCATCCCATGCAGACTGGACTTTCCCAAGGAGCAGCTCCAGCCACATCATTTGCATTCAATTCCCTTGTCAAAACCAAGACAGTTTGACTAAAAGGATAACTCTATTTAACAGATGATGCTATATAAAATCACAACTATAAATAGAAACATAAAAAAGCAAACAGAAAACCTACCAAAGCATGAGTTTCTTGGGTTTTGTTTTTTGTTTTTTAGGCAGAGTTTTGCTCTCGTTGCCCAGGCTGGAGTGCAATGGCACGACCTCGGCTCTCTGCAACCTCCGCCTCCCAGGTTCAAGTGATTCTCCTGCCTCAGCCTCCCAAGTAGCCGGGATTACAAGCATCCACAACCACTGCTTGGCTAATTTTTATATTTTTAGTAGAGATGGGGTTTCACCATGTTGACCAGGCTGGTCTTGAACTCCTGACCTCAGGTGATTCAACCACCTCAGCCTCCCAAAGCACTGGGATTATAGGCGTGAGCCACAATGCCCAGCCAAGTTTCTTGTTTTTATTATTTATTTATTTTGAAGAGATGGGTCTCACTATGTTGGCCAGGGTGGTCTTGAACTCCTGGCCCCAAGCAATCATCCTGCCTCAGCCTCCCAAAGTGATGAGATTACAGGCATGAGCCACTACGCACGGCCTCTTGTTTTTACTTATTTGCTAAACTTTTACTCATTTTGTCTATGGCCAACTCAAGTTTGCAAATCCTTTACAAAATTATGGAAAAAAATAGTTAAAAGTTGAGTAAACCCAACCCATTAAAAGATTTTTTCCTGGCTGTTAAGAAACAATCTTTTTTCTTTGAATTTATGAGCAGAACACCTAAGTTCACCACGCGGAGCTACGGAGTTTATCTAAGAGCATAGCATGAAAACCACATCAGAATGTGGATCCTGCCTGATATTTGTGGGGCATCTGAGACACTTTCCAGAAGAAGGTGACCAAAGATAGAAACCAGAATCAAGATTCAGTCAAATCATAAGAGGATTAAAATATAGGATATGCTAAAATATATATCTTAAATATGCTAATATGTATGCCTGCACTTGGGGTAAGATTACCATCCAAACCAACAAGATAGTACTTAGGTTCCACCGGGGTGTTGACATTTATCCTACAGTACAGGGATAATTGAACACTCCACTCACCTCTGAAACTTCTTGCTTTCCGAAAGGTCCCTAAGCATACTGAACACTAATGCAGCATCACTTGTACCAAAGTTGTCTGTCCTCCAGGAGGGGTGATATAGCCATAAGTGTCACTTTTGAACACTCCTGTCCTATATGTTTTGTCTCCTCCAACTTAGAATTTACTGCATGTCTCTCACTAAGGGCGCTGGGATATTGTGATTTATAACAAGAAATGTAAGACCAGCTGGGCAACATGGCAAAACGCCATCTCTATAAAAAATAGAAAAAATAGCCGAGCATGATGGCATGCAGCTGTAGTCCCAGCTACTCGGGTGGCTGGGGTGGAAGGATCACTTGAGCCCAGCAGTTCTAGGCTGCAGTGAGCTATGATCACACCACTGCATTCCAGCCTCGGCAACACAGCAAGACCCTGTCTCAAAAAGAAAAAAAGAAGAAAGAAAAGGAAGGCAGGAAGGCAGGAAGGCGGGAAGGCAGGAAGGCAGGAAGGCAGGAAGGCAGGAAGGCAGGCAGGCAGGAAGGCAGGAAGGCAGGCAGGCAGGAAGGAAGGAAGGAAGGAAGGAAGGAAGGAAGGAAGGTAGGAAGGAAGGAAGGTAGGTTGGTTTTAATATTTGTTCCCTGGTTCCTGTCACAGAGCTGCAAAAACCCTTGTAATTTCCCGAGCAATAGGGGTGCTAGGAGAATCTTTTCTTCTAATATTTGATCTTTGACTCTGTTTCATGACACAGAGCTTCTAATCCCTTGGAATATTCTAGGTTAACAGAAGCATATTTTGCTTTAATTAAGTGACTCTTGGTGGGTTCCTGGATGGGGGCTGGTCACCAGAAGGACAAACCATGATTGATTAGAAGATTTGAACTTTCAGCCCCAATCATGCCTATGTGATGCAGCCTCTATGAAAATCCCTGAACTATGGGGGTTGGTGAACACGGAGGAGCTGGGGGGTGGCACACCTGGAGAGGGCGGCGACCTTGTACCTTGCCTGTGCATCTTTTTCGTCTGGCTGTACCTGATCTGTATCCTTGGTAATAAACTGGTGCTCTAGTAAGTAACCTGTTTTCCTGAGTTCTGTGAGCCACGCTAGCAAGTGATCAAACCCAGGAAGGGATCATGGAAACCCTTAATTTATAGCCAATAGGTTAGAAACGGATATCATGATTTGAGACTTGTGATTGGCATGTGAACTGGGGAGTCAGGGAGTGTTGTGGGACTGAACCCTTAAACTGTGGGATCCCTCCTAACTCCGGTTAGTCTCTGAACAGAACTAAATTGTAGGACACCCAGTTGATGTGTGCAGAGAATTGGAAAATTTCTTGGTGTGGGGGAACCACCCACCCCCCAAACATTTGGTCACAAAAGTGTTCTGAATGAGAGGAGAGAAACAGTGTCTTCCCCAAAGGTGCTCATGCTCAAAGGTGCCAAACTCAAGGTCAGGCCTCTGCACCCAGAGGACGAGATGTCCTATGTCGCTGCCAAAATGAGAATTCTCACAAACTCTGCCTATGGCTACAATGTCCATGCTAGATTCAAATCAAGGCGATATCTGCTATTTTCAAAATAACTGAAAGAAGAATCTAAACCCTGAAATCACATTGCTTTGCTGGGTCACAACTTCATTGGCTGCTTGGGGATTAAATAAAAATTTAATTTTTTAATCTCTTTGACTACAGTGGTAATTAATATCTGATAACACCTTTCTTCCTACGTAGCTTATTATAATGATGTTTTTAAATACCAGGGAACCAAATTGTAATCTCATGTCTCACCTGCTGATTTTATGCTGCTCTTACAACCCAAAGGGTTAGATCAGGCTACTTGGAGAATGTCAAGTCCATTCCACCATGTCAACTTTGTACCAGCCAGCTTCTGCCCTTGTCTCTATCAGCTAAGCCAAAAACAGAAGAGCAATATTTTGCATACAGCTTTTCAGGAGATAATATTTCATCCTAACATATGGCCGCACTTGAAATGAAAATTACAATTCTATATTTCCATGTGAAAGAAGGGCTAATGAATGGTTCTGTTTTCAAAAACAAACATCCAAAATCTGGCTGTAACATCAAGAAAGGAAGGGAATGAAAAAAAAGAAGCCAGAGAAAACACTGCATGAAGCATGCTTCTTTACCATCATTCTTATCCACAGTCATTTATTTATTTATTTAGTAGTATTATTTTTTAGAGACAGAGACTTCTTCTGTGACGCAGGCTGGAGTTCCATGGCGGGATCATGGCTGACTGTAACCTTGAACGTCTGAGTTCAAGTGATCCTCCAGCCTCAGCCTCCCGAGTGGCTAGGACACAGTCATTTATTAATAGGGTGACCAGAGAACTTATTGTTCTAACTGGGATACGTCATCTGTATGCAAAAGGGGAGGCTGTTAATGGTGATGTTGAGGACAACTTCCCTGTTGATCACGTGTTACTTACATCCAGGGACTGTGTCACAGACTGAAAATACAAAGAGGCCAAAAATGTCATTTCCTCTATACAATGCTGAAATTTAGTTGGGGAGAGAAAATATTCAGAAAGAAGGGATATACCATGAGGATATCACTGTATAATTGTATTTTTATTAATTCCACAAATACAGGAAAACTCTTACTAATTTAATACATGTAATACATGCATTTTTACTAATTCCATAAATACAGGAAAACTCTTACTGATTTAATACATGTAATTGGCCAGGCATGGTGGCTCACGCCTGTAATCTCAGCACTTTGGGAGGCCGAGGCAGGTTGATCACCTGAGGTCAGGAGTTTGAGACCAGCCTAGCCAACATGGCAAAACCCTGTCTCTACTAAAAATACAAAAATTAGCTGGGCATGGTGGTGGGTGCCTGTAATCCTAGCTACTCAGGAGGCTGAGGCAGGAGAATCACTTGAACCCGGGAGGTGGAGGTTGCAGTGAGCCGAGATCATGCCACTGCACTCCAGCCTGGGCAACACAGCAAGGCTTTGTCTCAAAAGCAAAAAAACAAAAAACAAAAAACAAAACAAAACCATGTAATTACATAACTATAATAATTTAAGTATTTGCTAATTAAACATAGATACCTAATAATCTAGTAAATTACATTTCTAATTACATACTAATTGTGAATGCATATTTATAACACACCACCATGTATTACTAATTACATATATTACTAAATGAGGTACATGGACAATAACAAGGTAATTATTAAAGGCTGAGAAAAGTCTTGTTGAAGAGATGCAATCTAGTCTGCATTTTTATTAGTTATTAAATTTTTTTTTTAACTGAGACAGAGTCTCACTCTGTCGCCAAGCTGGAGTGCAGTGGCATGATCTCGGTTAACTGCAACCTCTGCCTCCTGGGTTCAAGTGATTCTCCTGCTGCAGCCTCCCGAGTAGCTGGGACTACAGGTGTGTGCCACCATGCCCAGCTAATTTTTGTATTTTTAGTAGAGATGGGGCTTCACCATGTTGGCCAGGATGGTCTCAATCTCTTGACCTCGTGATCCCCCCACCTCAGCCTCCCAAAGTGCTAGAAATACAGGCGTGAGCCACTGCGCCCAGCCATTAGTTATTAAATCTTATAGTTGTATTATTATTTACATTCCTCTATTGAGACATAGTGCATTTGCTCCTCATAGCAACCTGGAGAGGTTGAGGAGGTGGACAGCATTACGTGTATCTCACAGGTGAAGAAGCAGAGGACAAGGAGATGGATTCATCAGCCAACATCCCTGCCAGTGAAGTGAGGAGCGGAGAACACGAGCCAGGTGCCCCAATTTAGAGTCTGATCCCTTCCACTATAGCACTCAACATGGAAGAGGGCATGGGGATCATCAGAATTCTGGGAACAAAACCAGAGTGATAAGAAGAAACCTGCAAGTTTGACTAAGACACAACTCAAGTAGGTAATAGGAGATAATATTAAAACTGCAGTTTAGGTAAGGGTGAAATTGTGAAACCTCTTGACTGCTATGCTAAAACTACTGAATGCAGGCTCCTGCCAAATGTGGGCCAAAGGCATGATGTATGCACATCTTAGGATGACTTACCATGGAGCAGTAGAGCTGGAAAAAACTAGACACAGACAAAGCTGTAGAACTTCAACACGTGGCACTGTAGGTTGAAATTAAGATGGCAGATCTTGAAGTGAAAAGTACCTTATTTTATTTGATTTGATTTGGAGATGGAGTCTCACTCTGTCTCCCAGGCTGGAGTGCAGTGGTACAATCTCTGCTCACTGCAACCTCCGCCTCCTAGGTTCAAGTGATTCTCCTGCCTCAGCCTCCCTAGTGGCTGGGATTACAGGTGCGTGCCACCATGCCCGGCTAATTTTTTTGAATTTTTAGTAGAGACAGGGTTTCACCATGTTGGCCAGGCTGGTTTTGAACTCCTGACCTCAAGTGATCCACCCGCTTTGGCCTCACAAAGTGCTGGGAATACAGGCATGAGCCACCGAGCCCGACCTTGAAGTGAAAAGGACTTTATGACTCCTTCAACTTGAGAAGAGATGAGGGATAGGCCTGTGTTACTAGAAGAATGGAATTATATTAACAATACTAGGCAAGCTTAGAAGCCGAGTTGCTTAACAGTATGTCTTACAGGTCTTTCTACCACACAACATAGACATATACTGCATATGTACAGTATTTTAATTGCTGTATAGTTCCATAGTATAGTTGTACCAAAGTTTATTTAATTTAATTCAATCTTGGTCTCACTTACCCTTTTGTCAATCTTTACACTTTCAATTATAAATGAAAATCTGGGGCCGGGCGAGGTGGCTTGCACCTGTAATCCCAGCACTTTGGGAGGCTGAGGCAGGCGCATCACTTGAGGTCAGGAGTTCAAGACCAGCCTGACCAATATGGTGAAACCCCATCTCTACTAAGAAAATACAAAATTAGCCAGGCATGGTGCCACACGCCTATAATCCCAGCTACTTGGAAGGCTGAGGCAGGTGAACTGCTTGAACCCAGGAGGCAGAGGTTGCAGTGAGCCGAGATCATGCCATTGCACTCCAGCCAGGACAACAAGAGTGAAACTCCATCTCAAAAAATAAAATAAAATAAAATAAATAAATAAAAATCTGGCCAGGCACAGTGGCTCATGCCTATAATCCCAGCACTTTGGGAGGCTGAGGTGGGTGGATCACCTGAGGTCAGGAGTTCGAGACCAACCTGGTCAACATGGTGAAACCCCATCTCTACAAAAAATACAAAAATTAGCCAGGCATGATGGTGGGTGCCTGTAATCCCAGCTACTCGGGAGGCTGAGGCAGGAGAATCGCTTGAACCCAGGTGGCGGAGGTTGCAGTGAGTGGAGATTGTACCATTGCACTCTAGCCTGGGCGACAGGGTGAGACTCTGTCTCAAAAAACAAACAAACAAAAATTATAAATGAAAATCTTGCACTTGTGCATCCTTGGCTTATACATAAATTTCAGAGGAAACTATGTAATCTGGTAATTATATTCTTCTAGGTTACTGTACATTTGGCATGAAAACAGCGTATCATTAGACATCTACAGAGTTAGACTCAGTAAATCAAAATGTTTCACTCAAAGAACATAATTTCTATGTCCAAATCTCAGGTAATGGTGCTGTAGGCTTGACCTCAAGGAATTTAGAGTCAAGAAGAGGAAATACACATACAATAAAACAGAAAAAATAAAGATAAAAACCTACACTAGAAGTATAAACTAAATGCTAGAGGATGAAGGGATCAATTCTAAATGCAAGAAGTAGATTGTAAATAACCTGGTGGATTAGAAATTTGCTTTTTTGGCCGGGCACGGTGGCTTACCCCTGTAATCCTAGCACTTTGGGAGGCCGAGGCGGGTGGATCATGAGGTCAAGAGATCGAGACCATCCTGGCCAACATGGTGAAACCCTGTCTCTACTAAAAAATAGAAAAATTAGCTGGACATGGTAGTGTGCACCTGTAGTCCCAGCTACTTGGGAGGCTGAGGCAGGAGAATCGCTTGAACCCAGACTGTGGAGGTTGCAGTGAGCCGAGATCGTGCCACTGCACTCCAGCCTGGTGACAGAGTGAGACTCCGTCTCAAAAAAAAAAAAAAAAAATTGTTTTTTTTTGTCCTCCAAGTCTGAACTGTACATAGTAGTTGAGCCATTCGGGAAATATATATTGATTAATTCCAAGAATAACAGGCAATGTTTATGAGCAAATGCTACGTGCTGGCACAGTGCACAGTGCTCTGCTTATGTGACTTCATTTAATCAAATAATGGAAAGCAGGTTAGAAAGAGAAAATATTCAACATGCTTACTGACTACTCATTCTTATACTAACAGCACACTAAAGGATGCCTCTGCATAATTGCATAAATACAGGAAAACTGTTGCTAATTTAATACATGTAATTATATGTCTATAATAATTTAAGTATTTGCTAATTAAACAAAGATGCTTAATAATCTAGTAAATTACATTTATCATTACATACTAATTGTGAATGCATATTTATAACACATCACCATATGTTACTAACTACATTTAAAATATAACCTTACTGCACATTGGATGCATCATTTCTGGTGCTGCTCTTGCTTCTTCTTACTCTTTTTCTTCTTGTTCTTGTTCTTTTTGCTCTTTTTCTTCTTATTCTTGTCTCCTCCCCTTCTTCTCCCGCTTTGTCTTTCTGTTGTGCTTTCTTTAACAAAATAAATTAATTATTCAAGTTCCATGATTCCCATTACTTATGGTAATTCTTGTAGATAAAAGAATACTTCCTTGGTTGGGAAATTCATTTTAGTCTGTCTCTTTTATATTAACCTAAAAGAAACCCTTTAATTCTTTCTTTGTCCAGTGATTTTTTTTCTCTCTATAATATTGCCTTTTACCAATACCAAGTCACATGTAAAACAGGGTTCTACCCAGTGCCCAGTGTCCAGATAAATCTCAGACTTGAATTTGGGAAGGCACTGAAGGACACTGAAAGCTGCTTCTGTAGTGGCCTGAAATTCAGTAGATCCCTGCCAGCCCTTTCCCATTACCAATTTTTTTTTTTTTTTTGAGTCAGAGGTCTCACTTTTTTGCCCAGGTTGGAGTGCAGTGGTGCAATCTTGGCTCACTGCATCCCTGACCTCCGGGGCTCAGAGGATCCCTCCCACCTCAGCCTTCCGGGTAGCTGGGACTACAGATGCGCATCAACACGCCCAGCTAATTTTTTGCAGAAACGGGTTTTTCCCATGTTGCCCATATTGATCTCAAACTCCTGGGCTCAGGCAATCTGTCTGCATTGGCCTCCCAAAGTGCTGGGATTACAGGCATGAGCTACTGCACCCGGCCTCATCACAAATTGCTATATGGGTTGGGCCAGGAGGTGATAAGACCGGTATCCTACGTTAGATTCCCATGTAAGCCAATCTGCTTCATTAACTCCTGTGCCCTAATCCTGACCCACCTTCTCCCAAGCACGCATGTAGAGGAAAGAAAGCAAGAGCGATAGCTGAGGGGATCAGCCTACTAGATGGAGGCAGGTGTTTCAAGATGGTGTTGGAAGGGCAAGCCGAGAACTCTAGTAGCGGGGAGGGGAAAACTAAAACTTTATTACTGTAAGCAAATATCACAGCAAATCAGCCTTAAGTAGGTATAAAAGAACCCATAAAAGAAGACAAAATGTAACCAAAGCTCACCAGACCACAGAAGAGTCATCATTGGAGTCGGAAGACAGACGCGCTGGATCCTGCAGTAGGAGTTGGGGCATCCCCCAGCATAGGACAACAGCAACCTTCAATCCTCCTTCGTATAAGCTCCTTTTATTAAGTCCAATTGTTACTTTGGGCACCCTCTGTTGTTTGCTGGTGAGGGCCCTTCCCCAGCAAGCAACACTGAAACAGTGGTTCTGGGAGCAGCGTCCTGGGACGCGTTCCAGGACTTGAGTTAATTTCTGGGGTTTTAGTCAAATTTTACACAAGGTATTTACCTTTTCACCCTAGGTGTCTTTGCCTCTTACAGATGGAGGCATATTTTATTTTATTTATTATTATTATTTTTAGACAGCGTTTCACTCTTGTTGCCCAGGCTGGAGTGCGGTGCTGTCTCCACTCACTGCAACCTCTGCCTCCTGGGTTCAAGCCATTCTCCTGCCTCAGCCTCCTGAGTAGGTGGGATTACAGGTTCGCACCACCACGCCCAGCAAATTTCTGCATTTTTAGTAGAGACAGGGTTTCACCCTGTTGGCCAGGCTGGCCTTGAACTCCTGACCTCAGATGATCTGCCTGCCTCAACCTCCCAAAGTGCTGGGATTACAGGTGTGAGCCACCGAGCCCAGCCAGGGAATCACTTGAACCCAGGAGGCGGAGGTTGCAGTGAGCCAAGACTGCACCACCGCACTCCAGCCTGTGCAACAAGAGCGAAACTCAGTCTAAAAATAATAATTAGAAAAATAAAAATAAAAAAATAATAATTAGAAAAATAAAAATAAAAAAAGAACACAGCTCCCTTCATGCAGATGCCTCATTGGAGTTGGCAATGATAAGGTCTTTGAGACCGGATACCCAGATGGGCTCTGTGGACCCCTATACCCCTCCTTGGCTATGCTGCTGCAGTACAAGAGAAGATCCTGAAAAGCAAAGAAAGAGACAGGTTGGGGGGTGGGGGGCAGGAGGTCTTCATTATGGTGTGTTTGTGATTTCATTGTCTAAATTCCCCTAGTCTGGGAAGGGAATCCTAGGTGTGGCTCACCAGCCTGGCTGCTCACCATGCAGATATGTTTAGGAATAAAAGCCAGAATTAAGGTTTTTAGAAAATAAATGGAAGGTCATGATTGACTGTTATATAGATTATATGTGAAGGAAAGGACCGGGTAATTAGAAAGTGTTTGAAGGAAGATTCAGAAAGATTCCATACAATCTGTCACCCCCTCTTCCCCATGCACTGTTTCTGTCCTGGGTCTTAAAGGCGGTCTCTGACCATCAGGAGAATGGGGTGTGGGGAAAGTCATATTGTGCATACCAGATGCCCACTCCATCCCTCATACATATGCCCACCTTCTCCTTCACACTCACACACACATGCTTTACACTGGGGAAACAAATTCAAAGCAAACATTCAGGTAATCTTAAGGAAAATACAAGGCACCAGGGAAGTGTGCAGTGTGAGGAATGTGAGTGGGATGTGAAAAGGGGTGGGTGGGGCAGTGGCTGGGCGCAGTGGCTCACGCCTATAATCCCAGCACTTTGGGAGCCCAAGGCGGGCAGATCACGAGGTCAGGAGATCGAGACCATCTTGGCTAACACAGTGAAACCCCGTCTCTACTAAAAATACAAAAAAACAAAATTAGCCGGGCTTGGTGGCGGGCTCCTGTAGTCCCAGCTACTCAGGAGGCTGAGGCAGGAGAATCGCTTGAACCCAGGAGGTGGAGTTTGCAGTGAGCCGAGATCGCGCCACTGCACTCCAGCCTGGCAATAGAGCAAGACTCCGTCTCAAAAAAAAAAAAAAAAAGAAAGAGGGTGGGGCACGAAGAATCACCAGTCACCTGCTGCACCCCAGGACACTCACTGAAGGTCAGAACTTGCAACATTAGTAATAATGACTGATGACTGGATGGGATGCTTCTGGGTTTGGGGGTTTTGTTTTGTTTTGTTTTTTTGAGACACCGTCTCACTCTGTCCCCCAGGCTGGAGTGTGGTGTTGAGATCATAGTTCACTGCATCCTTGAACACCTGGGCTCAAGCAATCTTTCCGCCTCAGCCTCCCGAGTAGCTGGGACTACAGGTGCACACCACTATACCCGGCTAATTTTTAAAATTTGTATAGAGACGGGAGGTCTCACTATGTTGCCCAGGCTGGTCTCAAACCGTGGGCCTCAAGCAATCCTCCTGCCTTGGCCTTTCAAAGCACTAGGATTACAGGCATGAACCACTGCACCTGGCCTGCTTTTGAATATTATCTTTACACACATTGTTTCATCAGAATGATTACCTCACTTCAGAAGAGGCCATAGTCCCTCCTCTTCCCGTTGCCAGGTAAGCCAGGGCTGGCTTGATCAGACAACAACCCTGGGGATCTTATGCTACATTTATGTTCATGTGTAATAACTTGTTGTTATTTTTCAGTGAATTAATATAAATTTTTTTAACATTTAGTTTAAGTTCAGGGGTACATTATTAGGTTTGTTATTATGTTGATGGAAAAGTAATTGTGGTTTTGGTTGACACAGGTACACTTGTGTCGTGGGGGGGTTGTTGTACAGATTACTTCATCACCCAGGTATTAAGCCTAGTAAACATTAACTCATTAGTTATTTTTCCTGATCCTTTCCCTCCTCCCACCCTTCATTCTCCAGTAGGCCCCAGTGTGTGTTGTTCCCCTCCATGTGTCCATGTGTTCTCATATACACTGTTGGTGGGAGTGTAAATGAGTTCAACCATTGTGGAAGACAGTGTGACGATTCCTGAAAGACCTCAAGACAGAAATACCACCTGACCCGCAATCCCATTACTGGGTATATACCCGAAGGAATAGAAATCATTCTACTCTAAAGACCTGTGCACGCGCATGTTCATTGCAGCACTATTCACAATAGCAAAGACATGGAATCAACCCAAATGCCCATCAATGCCATACTGGATAAAGAAAACGTGGTACATATACACCATGGAATACAATGCGGCCATAAGAAAGAATGAGATCATGTCCTTTCAGGGACGCGGATGGAGCTGGAGGCCATTATCCTTAGCAAACCAACACAGGAACAGAAAACCAAATACCACATGTCCTCACTTATAAGTGAGAAGTAATATAATATTTTTAAATGTCTTAGTTTTTATTTGTAATATGGCAAATATTGATAGATAAAAGGACCAAGACCAAGTACAAGAGTTTCATCTAAGTTGGTGGGAGGTGCAGCAGATGGAGAGGGCAAAGGTAGGAGGACTTTTGAATGCCACACACTGAGGCAAACATCGAACTACAGAGACCAGAATCAGAGATCAAGAATCAGAGATCAGAGACCAGAATCAGAGTCATGAGTTCCAGCAAAAGCAACTGGGCCTCAAACAGAGGAGAGGCTGACTTGAATGATGACCTCCACTTGCTCGCCTTGGAGGTTTGGCTGTATGGGTGGCACTGCATGGGACGGTCACATTCCCAGGGAGCCGTGTGTGAAATTTGGCCGGGTGTGTGGGGAAGGGTGTAGCCCCTTTCCCTCCTCCGCCCCACAGTCTGTCTCTGGTGCCCAAAGAGTGCTGCTCTTGCCAGAGCCTGGGACAGCTCCTTCAACTTTCAGCCCAGCAACAGCTTTCAGCAACTTTCAGACAAAACACACTCCGTAAGCACACATTTTATGGGATATGTTGTGTTTTGTTGCTGTTGTTTGAGATGGAGTCTCTGTCACTCAGACTGGAGTGCAAGGGGCACAATCACAGTTCAAGACAACCACTGTAACTCGTCTCAGAGTGCTGGGATTACAGGCGTGAGCCACTGTGCTAGGCCATGTTGTTTGTTTTTTTAAGCACAGAGCCGTCTCTGAGTATACTTAAGAAAAAATGCACAATAAAACATTTTTCCTCAAGGCAACCTAAATCTGCACCGCACTCCACCAGCCACAGAGACAATTCTTCACTGTGCTACACAGAGCAGGTTAGCATCCTGGCTCCATAGCTTCGTAGATAGCTGTCTCCATGAGCCATGTTTCTAGATGCTAAACACAGAAAATTGAACTAGACTAGCTTACACGAATGGGGTTTATTTTTCCGATGTGACAAAAAGAGCATGGAGGCTGCACCCTGGCTCTGTCTAAGCCAGTTTTCGCATTCCACCATCCCAAAGGCCGTGTGCTTGGCCCCTCCCAGTTGCAGCATGGCTGCCTCAGCTCCAGGCATTTAAGGCAAGAGAGAGGGGAAGTGCCAGCATGTTCTTTTCTCCCACCTGTAGCTTTTGGGAGAAAGCAAAATCTTTCTCAGAAACTGCCAGGCACGGTGGCTCACGCCTGTAATCCCAGCACTTCGGGAGTCTGAGGCGGGTGGATCACCTGAGGTCAGGAGTTCGAGACCAGCCTGGCCAACATGGCGAAACCCCCGTCTCTACTAAAAATACAAAAATTAGCCAGGCACACCTAGTAATTCTAGCTACTTGGGAGGCTGAGGCAGGACAATCGCTTGAACCCAGGAGGCGGAGGTTGCAGTGAGCTGAAATCGTGCCACTGCACTCCAGCCTGGGCAACAGACCGAGACTCCATCTCAAACAAACAAAAAGAAAAACAAAAGAAAAGAATCCCCATCCACTTCTCTTTACATCTCCTTGGTGAGGACGGAGACACTTGGCCACTGCAGACTGCAAAGTAGGCCAGGAAAATAAATATTTGTTAATTTATTTTGTTTTCCCCAGGTTCTTTGGTGGGAGGCAGGCAAAGAAAAAGGGGTTTGGGAATGGCTGCTGGGTTCTATGGCTTCCCTCTAGGGGTGCCAAGGCACAGGTTACTGCACAGAAATAGTGACCCCTCCGGGCCACTGAGTGGAGCCTCTGGCTGGTAGCTCCCGGCCTCCAGCCTATCTTCTGTTTACCTCGATCTGCCTCAGACATTCACTATAGCAGCTATGCTCAGAATTTGTTCTTGGGACTCCTCTATACTCTTAAAAGTTGCAGAACCATAAAGAACTTTTATTTTTTCTTAATTTACTATTTATTTATTTATTTTTGAGACAGAGTTTCACTCTTGTTGCCCAGGCTGGAGTGCAATGGTGTGATCTCGGCTCACTGCAACCTCTGTGTCCTGGGTTCAAGTGATTCTCGTGCCTCAACCTCCTGAGTAGCTGGGATTACAGGCGCCCACCACCGTGCCCGGCTAATTTTTTTTTTTTTTTTTTGAGATGGAGTACCACTCTGTCTGGTATGCAGTGGCACGATCTCGGCTCACTGCAACCTCCACCTCCAGGGTTCAAGCGATTCTCCTGCCTCAGCCTCCCAAGCAGCTGGGACTATGGGAGCCCACCACCAAGCCCAGTTAATTTTTGTGTTTTTAGTAGAGATGGGGTTTCACCATGTTGGCCAGGCTGGTCTCGAACCCCTGACCTCAGGTGATCTGCCCGCCTTGGCCTCCCAAAGTGCTGGGATTACAGGCATGAGCCACGGCACCCAGCTATAAAAGGTTTTTTTTTTTAATGTGCATTATATCTATCAATGTTTACCATATTAGAAATTAAAACTGGGGCATTTAAAAATTAGTATACTAATTTGAAATGAACAACAAACGCATGACATGTGAACATACATTTCACATAAAGAATGCATTTTTATGAAACATAACTCTATTTTCCAAAGAAATTAATGGTACCATAGCATTGTTTTACATTTTTGCACATCTCTTTATTGTCCGTCTTAATGGAAGAAACCTGGATTCTCCTGTCTGCTCCTGCAATCTGTTTTATTACTGAATGTCATGTAGCATGAGGAACACTTAACTGTAGACTCATGGCAGGATGAGGGGGCAAAGGCAAATAGTGTCTTAGTATTATTATAAAAGTGGTTCTGACCTTGGAAACCACCTAAAAGGCCTCAGGACCACTTTGAGACCTCCTATAGTACAGATATGACCATTTGTTGGGAAGCCATCCAAGAATGTCTGCCACACAGGTCCCCATTTCCCATTTTGGGATTTCCCTTTTAATTTCTTTTTTTTTTTTTTTTTTTTTTTTTGAGACGGAGTCTTGCTCTGTCACCCAGGCTGGAGTGCAGTGGTGCCATCTTGGCTCACTGCAACCTCCGCCTCCCAGGTTCAAGCGATTCTCCTGCCTCAGCCTCCCGAGCAGCTGGGACTACAGGCATACACCACCACACCCGGCTAATTTTGTATTTTTAGTAGATACGGGGTTTCACCATATTGGCCATGCTGGTCTCGAACTCCTGACCTTGTGATCCACCCGCCTCGGCCTCCCAAAGTGCTGGGATTACAGGCGTGAGCCACCGCACCCAGCCTTAATTTCATAACTAAATGTCCAATTCAAGAGTTAGTTTCAGAACTAGGAAAGTGTCTTCCCCACAGTTATGCATGTGCAATTCTTTATGGCTTACCAAACAAAAAATTACCAGCAATTTTTAAAACACCAGCTTGTTTTTGGTTTCCTTATACACATTTTTTTTTTTTGAAGACAGAGTCTTGCTCTTTTGCCCAGGCTGGAGTGCAGTGGCGTGATCACGGCTCGTTGCAGCCTTGACTTCCCTGGCTGAAGCTATCCTCCTACCTCAACCTCCTGAATATCTGGGACTACAGGTGTGTGCCACCACATCCAGCTAATTTTATTTTATTTTATTTTTTGTAGAGACAGGTTCTCACTATGTTGCTCAAGCTGGTCTTGAGATCCCGAGCTCAAGCGATCCTCCTGCCTCAGCCTCCCAAAGTGCTAGGATTACAGGTATGAGCCACCACACCCAGCCCTTATACACATTTTGGTTTCAAAGGTCAAAGGGTCTTTTCAGTCATGGCTCAAACAAATGACATCTGTGCTTTCCCACTTTTGCAAAAAGGAAGCCTCCCTCCCAAGCTCATAACATGAAAGCAGGGGATTGTGTGGAAGGACGCATCTACTTCCATCTTCAGCCTTCATTGCCATACTTCATTGCTGTTTGTCTGTGCAGCCATCCCTGTTCTTCAGGGATTTGATTCGATTTGATTTGATTTTGAGACAGAGTCTTGCTCTGTCGCCTAGGCTGAAGTGCAATGACCCAATCTAGGCTCACTGCAACCTCCGCCTTCCGGGTTCAAGCAATTCTCCTACCTCAGCCTCCCAAACTGCTGGGATTACAGGCACCCACCACCACACCTGGCCAATTTTTTGTATTTTGAGGAAAGACAGGGTTTTCTCATGTTGGCCAGGCTGGTCTCGAACTCCTGACCTCAGGTGATCCACCCGCCTTGGCTCCCAAACTGCTGCGATTACAGGCATGACCTACCATACCCAGCCTCTTCAGGGACTGTAGAAGACACGACTGATGACATCCAAATTCCCACTCTAAATCTCCCGCAGCTCCAAGGATCAAACTTAAGACTCTCCGTCAACTGTTGTCAACATTTAATTATACCCACCTCATCCTCATTAGACTCTTCTGTCTCTTTAGCTGCCCCCTGATAGCTGTGAGAAAGCTCACAGGGCAACATCAAGGAGGGCAGCCGAGGACTTCTGACATCTCCTCTGTGTGATCTTCCCTGAGTGCTCCCTTTTGGAAATGTCAGGAGCACTGCGGGCAAATTGCAGAAAAAGCTGGAGGGGCCTCCGTCAGCATCCCAGCTCTGTGCCAGCGACTCTCTGATGAGACATTGGGATTTGGAGGTGGGATACAGAATCACTCGGGGACTTTTTTTGAACTCCACATGCTGGTTCCTTCCCCAAACTCCTTGGAGATAGATCTCTCCTCACCCCCACCCTGGTTAAAAATCACTGATCTCAATGGTTAGGAAAGAGCTTTATTAAATTTAAATTTAGCATGTGAGGTTGTGGATAACCCTCTCTCTGTTTCTGAGAAACAACTGTTTACTATTCTAACACTCTAGAAACCTGGCAACCGACTCACAGAGGACTGGCAAATGCCAGCTAATGTGCAGCTGCTCTGCGAGGGACCCCGGCTCTAAGCACTCCTACCCGTCAGCCTGGTGCCTATGTTAGAAGGGGTACAAGACCTAGAACTTTTGCAGGACCAAAAAAAGGCAGTCAGGACCTATTTTTAATGATCCTGAGGATTATATAGAAAGGAAATTCCATTAAGTCCATGCAGCTCTTAAAAAGTATTTTGTTCCACTCTTTTCTTCCCCTGCCCTTCTGATTCTATTTCTGTATTTCCCTCTTTATGTTTATGGGTCTGGAACTGAATAGCAGTGAAATAAAGATGATTGTCCTAAAGTGATGTTCCTAGGTAGAAAAATGGGTTTCTAAAATCCCTGCTTCCACTGCTGGGATGGCAGTCTGGATAAAATTGCAGGGGGATTTGTGGGATCATTGAAGCTCTTGATATTCAGAGCGGGGATTTTTATTCTATTATCACTTACTCTCAGGAAAATGTGATGTGCGTTATAGTGACATGGGTATTATGGCCAAATTTGTCAGTGAACACGGAGAAACTGCCTTGTTCACATCTGTCTGAAACATTTACTGCAGGCAAAGCCCTCTGCTTGGATCCTCTTATTCTGAACCGCACACACAGCGCGTGATGCTTGCTTTTGGAGTGGGGTCACTGGACAGTAGGGGCAAACCGGTAACGGTATCTCTACAAGTGACATTATAGACATGCCATGCCACGTGATCCCCACGGCTAAAATGAGACTCTCGGAGCTAGAGGGAATGGAAAGTGATGACGTGAGACGCCTGAACAATATTGTAACCTCAGATGATGTTGGCGGCCAGTACTATATAAGCTAAATGAACTGGGGCTAAGTGCTTATGACAACATCACGGACAGAGAATGTTATGAAGTCGTATGTCATTCTTGGCCTGAAGTGTCCCATCTAATGAGCCTATCTGTCATGGAAAAAATAAAATCAAGTGTGTAGACGTCTTCAATATTTGATGTTGGAAATGTGCTCTGGAAGAGAATACAGTTTATGCGTTTAAAAGATGAATATGTTTTAGCAAAACTTGTCCAACCCCATTACCTCTGCGTGCATCTTGAAAATTTGCGACCCCAGCAGACCAGACATCAGCCAACAAACATCAATTTAATACTTACCATGATCAAGGCACTGAACTACAACCAGACAGATATAAAAAGATAAAACCAACATTGAATCTGCCCTAAAAGAATT